>NC_000006.12:2635757-2787272 GCF_000001405.40 Homo sapiens
AAGCGGCTTTATGAAAGCTACCGTCAGTAAAGTAGAAAACTATATATGCACATATTTAGATATGGAGCTCCCACGGAGGAAGTGCTCTGACAGGTCAAATCTGCCCCCAAAATAAGTTGATAGAACTTCAAGGAAGCATGAAAGCGGCCTTGCTGTGCATTTCATTTTATGGAGCGTAAGTGCCTAATAAATGAATGTGTGGGTCTGAAGAAAGTGATATTTTCTAATGAAGTTATAAGTGTCGCAGTCCGGAAAAGTAGAACCCAAACAAACACAAAAAGGAGCGTGCAAGGCCCACGCCGCGCTGCACAGACTCTCCCCACCTGGTGAATGCTGACCTGGGGCCAGGCCACAGGCAGGGAGAGAAAGGTCGCCGGCATGAACACCAGGTGACCCCGTGAAGTGTGTGCTTCTGAGAGCAGGGGTCCCCCAAGTGAAGTGGGCGATGGCCTCCACCACCTTGAGAGCTCGTCATCCACTGTTTTTAACACTGCCTTCTGTTTTGCTTTAGTTCTGCTAAGATACACCTAACATAAAATGGACCCTCTTAACCTTTTTTAAGTGTGCAGTTCAATGGCATTAAGTACATTCACATTACTATGCAACCATCACCGTCATCCATCTCCGGGACTTTCTCCTCTTCCTAGATGGAAACTCTGGCCCCACTACACACCAACTCCCCATCTTCTCTCCCCCGTTCCAGTTGCTGTCTTTGTGAATTTGACCACTAGGAACCTCACACAACGTTTATCCTTTTTATCACAGGATTACTACACTTAGCAGGATGTCCCCCAGGCTCATGCACGTTGTAGCGTGTCAGGGTTTCCCTCCCTGTTAAGGTGAGTCGCGTTCCATCATACGCACCCATCACGTCTTGCTTATCCATTGATCTGTCCATGGATCCATGGACGCTTGGGTTGTTTCCACCTTCTGCCTAATGTGAATAACACTTCTGTGAACACGGGTGTACACGTAACTCCTTGAGACCCTGCTTTCGATTCCTTTGGATATATACCCGGAAGAGGATTGCTGGATAACGTGGTGATTCCGTTTAATTTTTGGAGGAGCCACTGTACAGATTTCCGCGCGGCCGCACAGCTTTTCCGTCCCACCCGCGGTTCCGAAGGGCCCACTTTCTCCACGTCCTCCCCAACGTTGTTGTTTCTGGATTTTTGACAGAGGCCATCCTGATGAGTACGAGGTGGTAGAGCTGCCTGCTTTTTGATTAATGTGACGATCACACCCTCTGCCTGGGAGTTTTACAGACTGGTGATGACTTTTTGTGGCATCTCAGGAAAGAACATAACTTCGTGGACGTCCTTAGTCAGAATCTACTCAGTGTATCTACTCAGTATAGGCTCACATGAGCCCTCACCTTCCCAGGGAGTCACAACCTCTACTATACTTCTTCTTTCTGCTCTGCCCCCCACAAACGGCCCTGCCAGCCCTCACCACCTAGAGGGAGATTGGGAGCCGGTAGAGGAAAGACACCCTGAATCCCCGAGGTCAAGCAAAGCCCTGGGGAGGCGCCGTGGGATCCCTGCCTCGGGCCTGCCTAGACAGTATGTGAATGAGTATCCCAGAGATTCTCCCCGCTGTGACCTCGAGGGCCAGCCTGCCTGTGTGGCCGTGAGCTGCTTTCTTCCCAGAGGAACTTGCTTGCGGCAGCAGGACTCCACAGCCTCAGGGGCAGCTTGGGTATGTGTGTGTTCCTGTGCCACGGTTATATGTCCGTTTGGGTGTGTGTGTTTCTGTGTGTGTGTGTGTGTGTGTGTGTGTGTGTGTGCGCGTGCGGGGGTGGGGGGTGTTTGGCAGGACCAATGTGTCTTGTATACTCAAGGGCGGATTCTTTCAAGCCAGCCTTCTTTCTGATGCTCTGCTCCCTGCGTTTCCACTCGTGCTGTGTGGCTGGTTAATATTTGTTTATCGTGTGCTTCCCATTAAAATGTCTTTAGGCCAGCCGGGTGTGGTGGCTCACGCCTGTAATCCCAGCACTTTGGGAGGTTGAGGTGGGCGGATCACGAGGTCAGGAGATCAAGACCATCCTGGCCAACATGGTGAAACCCCGTCTCTATTGAAAATACAAAAATTAGCTGGGCATGATGGTGCGTGCTTGTAATCCCAGCTACTCGGGAGGCTGAGGCAAGAGAATCACTTGAACTCAGGAGACAGAGGTTGCCGTGAGCCAAGATTGCGCCACTGCACCCCAGCCTGGTGACAGAGTGAGTCTCCATCTAAAAAAAAAAAAATTTCTTTAGGCCGTGGCAAAGTGGGGAGCTGCGTCCGTTGGGTGAAGGTCCAAATCACCTCCCCATCCCAAGGGGTCACTTCTCTAGAGGGAATATGACACACGCAAGAACCAAAACCCCAGAGGAGCTGCCTGTCCAGCTTCAAGAAAGGTTCAGACAGATGTCCAAGGTGGTGGATGGAACTCCTTTTCCCCTTTTCCTCTCCTTGCAAAATCTAGCCACATCATGGCCCAACGATGGAGAAGAAGCTGAGAACTTGGCAAGGATCTCTTTTCCTCCAACTGTGGCCTTTCTGGCTAGGCCGCCGGTTGGGCACTCATTCCCAGCTCCACACGGCAGTGGCCTTGCTGCGTTCTGCCTTGCTCTTTTTCTGTCTACACTGCCCTCACCCTTTTTCTGTCTTCCATGTTCCTGCTGGGCCTCAATTTTTCTTGATCTGGCTCAGAGTCTTCAACCAGCCACATTTCCCAGTTCATCCGGGATCTTTTTTTCCTTCTCCAAACCTCTCTCTGCATGGTTGGGCAGGTGGGAGGATCCTGGAGCTCTGGGTTTCCATACCTGTCGCCCACACAGACATTCCCTTGGTCTCCAGGGTTCAAGCAGACGGCGGCATGACCCTATAGGATGAGCGGTAGCCAAGCGTGGCTGGCCTTTGCCTTCTAAGAAAGGTGGAGTTTCCTGGCATCTACAGTGCCTTCGCCACTCTTGAGGGATATCCAGCCCCTCTGCTCCCGGGTGGGACTGCCTCCCAGCACTAAGTCTTCTGACTGCCACGGATTTCACTGAGCCAAGTGGACTGAGGGTTGGCCTGCTGCAGCTGAGGGTGTGTGTGCTGTCACCAGCATAGGGGTGGGAGTGGCTGGCACATCACAGGAACGTCTTGGGTCTTCTGGCAGGCATCCCTGAAGGTGGCTTGGACCCCAGTGTGGCCCTCTTGGGGTCCTCAGGTGTGCTTGGCCTTTCCTTCACTTTATTGGTGAGGGGGTCGTCAGTCTTGGAATGGCTCTATACCTCCTCGGAGACACACACTCACTCCACCTGCTAGAGAGCCTGGTCACAGCGCCTGCTTCCGCTGCCTGAGGGTGAGTTCCTGAGGATCAGCACAGCAGGAGCCTTCTGTGGCAGTGCCTCAGTGTCGTGCTGCTGTGGCCTGTTTTTTCCAGGGTGTCGCCGGGATGGTCCTGGGATCTTAGGAGTCGCAGAGGGCCGACCAGGATGAACAAACGTCAATCAGAGCCCCAGTGATGCACTGCGGGATCCCTGTCTCAGTCCTGCCTAGGTGATGTGTGGATGAGTCTCCCCTGAGATCGTCCCACTGTGACTTCGAGGGCTGGCCTGCCTGTATGGCCATGGGCTGCTCTCTTCCCAGAGGGGCTTCCTGGCAGCCGCAGAACCCCGCAGCCTCAGGGGCAGCCTGGGTGTGTGTGTGTTTTTATACCACGGTTGTATGTCCGTCTCTGTGTGTGTGTATATGTCTGTGTGCATGTGTGTGTGTTTGTGTGTTTGTGTGTGGGGGGTTGTGTGTTTGTCATGTCAGGCAGGACCAATGTCGCTTGTATACGCGAGGGCAGATTCTTGAAGGTCACGCTTCTTCCTGGTGCACAGCTTTCTGCGTTTCTGCTTCAGCTGTGTGGCTGGTTGGCATTTGTTGATCTTGCATGTCCTGTTTGGGTTTGTTTAGGCCTCGGCAAAGTGGGGAGCTGCCTCGGTCCAGCAGGGGTCCAGATCACCTCCTCATTTAGAGGGACCATGTCTCTAGAGAGATGACATGCCAAAAACGGAAACCTCACAGGAGCTTTTTGTCCACCTGCAAGCGAGGTGCAGACACGTTTGAGATGGTGGATGGACTTTTTTTTTTCTCTTTTCTCTCTTTCCAAAATCTGGACACACCATGGCCCAGTGATGGAGAAGAAGTCGAGGACCTGTCAAGGATCTTCTTTCTTAGGAGTGGCGGAGGGCTGACCAGTCTCAATAAAGCACAGGGGGAGCCCCTGTGACCCAGCGTCTGGGTGGCAGCCTGTGGACAATCTGCAGCTCATCTGGATCACGCAGCTCAGCTGAACTCACAGCCCGAGGTCCAGCACTGCCCAGGGGCTGGCAGCCGTCCTGCTTGGGTGGGGCTCTGCAGGATGGGCAACCACACGACGGTCTCCCTGGGAGCCTGGGAAAAGGGAGGATTCACAGATTACAAGGGGACAAGACCCTGTTGGACAAAAATGACCAAGTGGGAAGCTGCCTAGCTCTGACCAGGTCTGGGAACACACTGGGATTGGAAGTCATCTAAATATAGCCTGTTTATAGACTGCGATCTGACTTTCTCAGGCACTGTTTGTATGAGAGCTGGTAACTATAGCACAATTTTTCTAAACTGGTCATTTTCAACACTGACTTTTTATTTGCATTTGAAATGATTTTATTATTGGCACCAGAGAACTAGAACCTCGGACTATTGCTGTGGCTGAAAGCTACGCACAGCTTTCCATGAAATCTTAATTTATCAGCCTGTTTGGGTGTTTGAACATTTAAAGCAAGCAAGATAAAAGAATCTGAAGGGATTGCTTCTTTTCACATCTTGTCATTCATCCGGCTTTGTTTTTAACTGCTCAGTTCAGTTCACTGAAAGTCTGTATTAATGCTTCACCCATCCACAGAGGTGTAAATATGAATGACAGTGGGAGGAAGATAATCCCATAGTCTTGGGACAGTGGGGCATCCAAATACCTGCACGACAAAGGAGTAAAGAGACTTAGTAGGAAATCCAAGTTACCCTTTTCCCCCTCACTGCAGGCATTCCCCAGGTTTCAGGAATCAACGCCTGCATTTGCTTTCATCCTTTCTCTTAGCCAGTGGTCCCCTCAACCACGGCTATCTCTGAGAATCCCCTGGGCAGATTTTCAAAGTTCCATGCCCAGCCATGCCCAGGGTGCACCCCAGACTGGTCATCAGGTCCCAACCCTTGGGGTGGGTGTGCAAAAGCTCCCTAGTGGATTCTCAAGTTGTACTGGGTGGAGACAGCCGCCTAGCAGGCCATAGTACACGGAGCTCCAGGGTAAATGTAACCATGCAGATAGGGAACAAAAGCAACGAACATTTTAAAAGAAAATAATGGAGCAAAGATTCTTTGACTTTGGGCAGTGACTAGTGGATTTCTGAGAGAGTCGTGATATTTTAGGCAGTTCTAAAGTAAAAGCACAGAATATAACCACAAAGACCTGAAAGCCAAAACCGAGAGGAGAGTCTTCTGAAGCCTTTCCGGCCATCTGGTTTCCTCCTCAACACTCAGTGCCCATGAACTTTCCTCCTCCATCCTCGTTAAGTACTGCTCTCCATGTATGAATGTAGTTAATTCACCCCAAAGAGTAAATCACCACTGAGAACCAAAGTGATATGTTTTCTGGAATGTTCACACATGACCCCTCCTCTCCACACTCATCAATACACATGCACACACCACACACACGCACAAACACACAGATGTAGACCCACGTCCCCACACATGCTTGCACTCATACACACAAGGGTGCACGCACGCATCCACATGTACACCATGCACACATGCATGCACACACACAGACAGGCACACACACACACACACACGCACGCACAAACATGACTAGGACAGCAGGCTGCTCTCCTAATCACCGTGGTATAAATCGCCTCTTTTCTTCAAGTCTCAGAAGGTTAGTTTCCTTTTTGCCTTTTTAAAACCATCTGCTCTTCCCCCTAAATTAGCTATATCCCAGGGCTCATCTCCTATAACTTCTCCTAAAAACAAGTCTATAAGACTTTTTCATTTCAGAGAACTTAAAAAAAAAAAAACAAGGAAATAGACAAGGTGGTAGGAATGACAAGTGTGGGAGAGAACAGAGAGTCAAAAAAGATGGAAATTTCTTTTCCCGTGGTTCCCACACTCCTAATTGCCTTTTCTAGGAGATTAGAAATATTCACCTACCTCTGGCTCCAGTGTGTTTCCTAGTGGCTGGCTGGGAAGCCCAGCAGCTTCAGGTCTTTCATTTCATTCCTGCAGGTAGAACTCACTCCTCACCCCACCCCATTCTCTTCCATTCACTCGTCCCTACATCCTGCAGGATGCGTGTGTCACAAAGGTTCCCTTTTTAGCATCTCTGTTTGCAATGTTAGGCATTTACTCGCACTGGGCTTACAGTTTCTAGTTAAAGGATCAACTCTACCAGGGCAGAAAGCATTTTGGCCATCAACCAAGAGGGGAGGGAGGATTGAGTGACCTGGACCTTTTCCGTGTGCTCCCAGGATAAGGGAGGACAAATGGAAAGCTTCCTTCCTATAAATGCTACATGGGCCAAGATAGTGGAGGGGAATACTTCACAGCAAAGTAACTCTCAACACTTACTAATTAAGCACGTGGCAGTGCCATTTATTAAGTCTGGTAGGAATGGTTAGAGGCTCCACAGCTTAAAAGAAAAAAAGTAGTAATATTGAATAGTTCTATTTATGTCAAACTATGACAACATATTAATGTCAAAATGTGCAGCCAGTCTGTCACCATTTGAGGTTACTAATATGTCTGCAAGGCCCTTTAAGAACAGTTGTTCCCAGCAGTGGAGAACATGTGGCCCAGTCTAGGAAGCTTCAGCCCCAGTTCTGCCAAAAGGAATGCAAGGCAATTGTGCAGCCACTCTGTGCCTCAGATCTTATCTGCAAATTGAGGGGAATAACATCGGCCTTAGGGTCGGTGCATCCCTTAAGAATATTTCAGGGCTGGGCATGGTGGCTCATATCTGTAATCTCAGCACTTTGGGAGGCTGAGGCCAGCGGATGGCTTGAGCCCAGGAGTTCAAGACCAGCCTGGGCAACATGAAATGGCCTCGTCTCTACAAAAAATACACAAATTAGTCAGGTGTGGTGGTGCATGCCTCTAGACCCAGCTGCTAGGGAGGCTGAGGTGAGCGGATTGCTTGATCCCAAGTCAAGGCTGCAGGGAGCCAGGATCATGCCACAGCACTCCATCCTGGGTGACAGAGCAAGACTTGTCTCAAAAAAATAAAAAAAAGAATATTTCAGGATATTGCTTAACAACAATGTTAGCTGAACAGTAAGTGCATGAAAAGGTACTCAACATTAAGCCACACTGAGATAGCGCTATACCCCTACTAGAATGGCTAAAGTTAAAAAATTGAGTATATCATGTGTTAATGAGGAGGAGGGGCAACAGGAACTCTTCTATACTCATGGCAAATTGGCACAACCACTTTGGAAAACTGTGTGGCCATATGTACTTAACCATGACCCAGAAATTCACATCTGGGTATTTACCCAAGAGAAATGACTGCTAAGTTTATGCAAAGACTCAAATGCGAACGTTCATGGCAGCATGATTCAAATAAGCAAGAACTGGAAAGAACCCAGGGGCCCATCAGCTGCTAAATAAATAAAGTCTGGGATATCTATACAATGAAACTACTGAGCAATAGAAAGGAACACAGCATTAACACAAGCCACAGATGAATGGAGCTCAAAACCATTCTGCTCAGTGAAGGAGTCAAACACACAGCATTACATATCACTTGATTCCATTTATATGAAAGTCTAGAAAAGGCAAAGCTATAGTGGCATAAAGGTCCTTAACAGTTGCCAGGGGCTGGGGCCAGGAGAGGGGATCGGCTACACAGGGACTCAAGGAAATTTCTAGGGTGATGAAAATGTTCCAGATCTTGATTGTGGTGATGGCTGCTCTATAAAATAACCAAAACTCACCATACCGGGCACTACAGTGTGTGTTAACTGTACCGTGTGTGTATTTCAAATGCCTGAATTTTATTATATGTAAATAATGCCTCAATAAAGCCAGAAAAACATTTAAATGAATTGTCCCTCACGCAACATCCATTTTAATACTATCATTATGGTATTATCTTTGGGCAGACCGTATTTGCTGACTTCCACTCATGGCTGGTGTTACCTACTTCTGGGGCACTTGGTTGAGTTTAAGGATCACGTTGGCATGGCTCTACCACTTCTGTGCTTTCTAAGGGGGTGGCTGTGTCTTCCACTGGCCAGGGGAGCAACAGTAGTGTGACAGCCTTCTGTTTCCAGCAGAAGAACCAGCAGCTGCAGGACTGAAGCTGCCCTTTGGGTCAGTGCTCAAGGAAGAGAGGCTGGTGGTAGAGAGGTGTTAGACACCCCTTACTGTTCTCAGAGAGCTCTGGCCACTGACTTGGATGGCTGGAGCCTCACAGACAGACATGGTGGAAGCCGAGTGAAAGGGGAGGTCCTGAATCAGAGATTCCCGAAGCAGATCTCAAGTCCAATGGGACACATGCAGGGAGGAAAACCACTCAGAGGAAGCAACATTCATCCTCCCATTGCATTAAAAATAAATACAAGACCACCATTCATTCAAATAACTGGGCCCATTGTGTATTCAAATAACCACTGACTGACCTTCTCTTCCACTTCATCGAGTGGTGGAGAATTAGCAGAAGCGACCTGGCCAACTGGTCATTTTGTTCACATGTACATAGGCCCAACCTCAAGGACATTGGGGTGGTATCTGTTTTGAGTTATTTTGAAAGCAAAGCCTGAAACACACGTGTGAATGCAGGTAGCTTCCATGGAAAGTAATCGCAGGAAGCAGTGGGAAACAGAAGACCAAAAGGGAAGAAAGTCAACATGGACTATGTTATCGGGCTGGCTACTGCAGTGGGCAACGCGGCTCAGCTCTGCTGGAGGGTTTCTGAGGAACTGGAAAGAATACGCCTCATAGTTCTCTCTCCCAAGGGCAGAAAGCTAGGTAGTTCCCACTGACTTCCGGCTCCCCTTGGTTGAGGGTCCCCATTCCAGGGCTGTGTGTGCCCGGACAAAGCTACTATCTGAGGCTTAGGAGAAAGTCCTGGGGCTGAAGAGAGACCCCTGACGCACACATGTGGGGGGCACGGAAACCAGGTTGGTGAAGTGGTGTGGCACCAGCTGCAGCACCAAGGTCCAAAGGAGGGTGGCTGGGGGTGACAACCTTTCTGCTAAAAGAGATGCAAACCCAACATCTCTGGAAAGGGAGGGGTGGAATGGACAGTTCATTCTGGGAGATGCTTTGGGTGCCCCTCAGCACTGCTCGGAGGAAGGGGGGTGAGCTTTCAGCCATGCCTAGGTTGCCATTGGCCTCTGATTCTCTTGGACCTTGGTGGTGTAGGTCTCCTCAACCCTGGAAGAAACAGAGATATGAGATTGTTGCCACGTGCCTGTCATCCTGAGACTCGGACCACGCCATTGCACAAACACACATGTGGAGGTTTAATGGTTTAACTTTAATCATATCCAGTTCCCGCCAGGCAAGCTGGGGGCACACTTCCTGCCCTTCTGCCTTGCACCTGCAATGAAGGCCCTGGATCTAAGTGGAAGACAAGGTGTATTTGAGACAATCTGATACTTCAGCCTTATTCCTGGGGTAGGTGTGCACGGTATGCATGTGTGTAATAAGAGCTCCTGGGGTGACCAAACACTTGCCAAATGGCCTGGGGACACTCTGCTTTTTGAATTTTTCTTTGGAGACAGGCAAGAATCAGCAGGTTTCTGCCATTTTTGAAATATCAGCTGACAGTGCCCTGCCTGCTCTATAAAGGTCATTCCAGCTGGAGGTTTGAGTAAATGTCTCTAACTCTCTGAAAAGCTCACATCCTGGAACAAAACTCTTGCCTTCCCAAAGGAGGAGAACAAAACCCCCCAGCCAGCTCACAGAGGGCAAATCAGAGGCAAGAGGAGGGATCTCAGATAAGCTCTTAATAACGAAAACCTTTTATTAACAATGGTGTTTCCCTGTCTCACAAATTCCCAGGACCTGGCTGAGCACGTTGGGTAACTGTGAGGCCAGCCTATCCCCAGAGTGTATTTGACACTCAATAAAAAACCTGCACTAATTTAAACAGCTCCAGAATAGCTGACAATATGGACAACATTTCAGACTGGAAGGAAAAGTAAAAAAGGAATGAAACACTTTCATTTTTGAATGAACAGATTGATTTTCAAACATAAATGATAGATAAAGTCAAGCTCACAGACACGTCTACAATGAGTAATTATCTGGTAGACATTGACCTAGCCTGGGAAAAAGCTGGGATATTATGTTAGCTCAAATGTGCTTCCTTGCCTTCCACTTGGAATGGTGGCCTTTCATGACAGGTGCAAGGCAGTGGCAGGTTGTGAGTGTGTGTGTGTGTGTTTAAACAATTTTCCATCTTTAAGCCAACTTTACTGGATTCCAGTATTTTACCTATGAACTCATGATTATTTAGCTTAACCTTTATTTACATTTTCTCTGAGAGTGAAACACTGTGTGTGTGCATGTGTGTGTGTGTCTGTATAGTGGGTGGGTGTATGTGTGTGTGTAGTGGATGGGTGGGCATAGGTGTGAGTGGATGTGTGTGTGGTGGGTGGGTGTATGTGTTCATGTGTGTGTGTAGTGGGTGGGTGAGTGTAGATGCACGTGGGTGTGTGTGTAGTGGATGGGTGGGCATAGGTGTGAGTGGATGTGCATGTGTAGTGGGAGGGTGGGCGTAGGTGTGTGTGGGTGTGTGTGTAGTGGGTGGGTGGGTGTACATGTGCACATGTGTGTGTAGTGGGTGGGTGAGTGTAGGTGCACGTGGGTGTGTGTTTAGTGGATGGGTGGGCTTAGATGTGAGTGTGTGTGTGTAGTGGATGGGTGGGCTTAGATGTGAGTGTGTGTAGTGTGTGGGTGTGTATAGGTGTGCATGGGTGTAGGTGTATGTGAGTTTACAGAGAATAGAAAATAATAGCAGGGAGCATAGACATAAGGAGATTGTCTGATGCCATAAGCGCCACTTTGGTGCTGGCTGCTTTTGTGACCACAGCTACCATTGCTGCAGTGACATGGGTCAGAGGAGCAACTTTCCAGTAACCTCTAAGCAGAGGCATTTTTCACAATAGAGAGATTTTCAAAATTTCTCAAATGATCTCTTTCACACGGTCTTTCCTGTGCCCCACAGTTTCGATGGCATTCTCACCAGGTCAGCGCCCACAGGCTGCAGGTATGCCTGTGAACAGACATTGGAGGAGAGAAATGGAATGGCTTTTGGGTTAGAAAGTTCTTAGGGTAAATCTCAACTTGGCTGCTTTCTCACTGAATAAACTTAGCTGTAACACTTAGCTGTAAAAGACTGTTTCCTTATCTAGAAAGTTGGTATTACAGCAGGACATACCATTTTGCAAAGTTTGTTATAAAGTTTAAATTAAATAGTGAGGGTGAACCTCTCAGCACACTGTCAGACACAAAGTGTCTGTTCAATTAATGATGATAACTATGAACCCATGGTATACCAGATGATTTTTTACAAACATAAGCACCAGTGCTTGAAACTATCCTTGATTTGTTTGTCTTGGGGGCCAGCCTGCCTCTTTGGGCAGCACATTAGGACTTTATTTTAATACGGTACATGACAGCATGAAACTCAGCAACAGTACTCTGCCATGGATTGTTTCCAAAGGAGCATGGCCATGAAGGAGTTAATGCAGTTTTGCTTCCAAGGAGATGCCCTGGAGTGGATCCCATAGGCACTGCTATTGGGAGAGTGCTGGTATTTTGTTTTATATTGTAAGCTGGGTCGCTCCCCAACTGTAGCACAGACTACTTTGGGGTTAATGCTATAACAGGATTTGAGGAAATTATTAATGTTAAATGACTATATGAGAAAAGAAAAAATAGTTCAAATCAGTAATCTAAGCTTCCTCCTTAAGAAACTAGAAAAAATACAGCAAACTGAACCTAAAGAAAGAAAACAATAAAGAACATAATTCAATGAAATAGAAAATTAATACATAAAACCAATGATGCAAAATCTACTTCTTTGAGAAGATCAGTAAAATGATTAAACTTCAAGTCAGATTAATCAGGAAAGAAGAGGTAAGTCACAAATTAGAAGTGAGAGAGGTGGCATCATCATAGATTCTACAGATGTGAAAAGGATCATAGAAAATATTATGAACAACTTTATGTCAATAAACCTAGGTAAAAATCAGTTAAGTTCCTTAAAGGACAGTAACTACCAGATTCACTCAAATATAAATGGATAACCAGAATAATTCTGTATCTATTAAAAAAATTAAATTAAATTTGTAGTTTAAAAACCTTCCCACAAAGAAAACTCTAGACAAGATGGCTTCACTAAATAATATCAATTCTACATACACTCTTCCAGAAAACTGAAGAGAGGAAATGCTGCCTAATTTTTTCTGTCAGGTCAGCACTGCCCTGAAGCCAAAAGACAACAAAACTATGGTATAATATCTTTCACAAACATAGATATGAAAATTCTTAATGTAATTTTACCAAGTTGATTCTGAGAACACATAAAAGGAGATAAACCATGACCAAGTTGAGTTTATTCCCGGGATGCAAGATTGGTTTAATATTTAAAAATCAATAGATGTAATTCACCATATTAACAATCTAAAAAAGAAAAGCCATATGATCATCTAAATAGATTTTTAAAAGTACTTGACAAAATCCATTGCACAGCACTGATGAAAACTCTCAGAAAACCAGGAATAGAAGGAAACTTCTGTAGCCTGATAAAGACCATCTATAAGAAACTTTCAGCCAACATTATGTGTAATATTGAAGGAGTGAAAGCTTTTCTGTAAGATCAGGAAAGAGATGAGGTTATTTGCTCTCACTACTTCTATTCAACATTGTACTAGAGGCTCTGGCCACCATAATAAGAGAAGAAAAGAAATAAAAGGCATTCAGATTGGAAAAAAGTAAAATTGTTCTTATTCATAAGTGACATGATTTCTATGCAGAAAATTTAATAAAATATACAAAAATGTGAGAATTATTGGGCTCAGCAACATTGCAAGATATAACATTGCAAGACATAACATTGCAAGATCAACATACAAAATCAAGTATTTCTTAAATAGCAAAAAAAAAATCAGAAACTAAAGTTTTAAAGATACATTTACTGTAGCACTAACAAATATGAAATACTTAGTGATAAAATCTGACAGCAAGAATGAAAGATTAGCACACCGAAAACTGTAAAACACTGGTGAGAGAACTTAAAGAAGATCTAATTAAATGTATAAATACACTGTGTTCATCTGTCAGATGACTCAGTATTTTCAAGGTCTCAGTTCTCCCCAAGTTAATTTGTAGGCTTAATGCAATCTCAATTAAACTCTAAGCAGATGTTCTTTGTAAAAACTAACAGACTGGTTCAAAAATTTATATGGAAATGTTAAGAACCTGAAATAGCTAAAACAATTTGAAAAAGAACAACGTTATAGGACAAACAATATATGATTTCAAGATTTCTTATAAAATTCCAGTAATCAAGACAGAGCAGTCCTAGCATCTAGGCAGACAAGTAGATTTATGGAGCAGAATAGAGAGTCCAGACCACACATATGGTCTTTTCTAACTGGTTTTAGAGAGAGGCATAAAGTTAGCACAAAGCAGAAAAGATTTTCTCTCTGGAAATACTGTTGGAACAATGGATAGCCATAGGTAAAAAAAAAAAAAAGTAAATAAGTAAATGACTTCTATCTATATTTTTCACCATGTGCAAAATTTAACTCAAAATGTGTTATAAACCTAAATATAAAGTTTAAAATAATGAAACAGCAAAAACCATAGGATAAAATCTTTAGGATTTGGGGTTAGGCAGACTTCTTAGCTATGGCACTGAAAGCACAAGTCATAAAGGAACAAGTTGATAAATTTGACTTTAAAATTAACTTTTGCCAGCTGGTTGCAGTGGCTAACTCACGTAAACCTAGCACTTTGGGAGGCAGAGGTGGGTGGATCACTTGAGGTCAGGAGTTCAAGACCAGCCTGGACAGCATGGTTGAAACTTCATCTCTACTAAAAATACAAAAATTAGCCGGGTATGGTGGCGGGCACCTGTAATCCCAGCTACTCGGGAGGCTGAGGCATGAGAATCGCTTGAACCCAGGAGGCAGAGGCTGCAGTGAGCCGAGATCACACCACTGCACTCCAGCCTGGGTGACAAAGCAAGATTCCATCTCTAAATAAATAAATAAATAATAAATAATAAAATTAAATTAAGTTTTCCTACTTAAAAGATACTATTAAGAAAATTAAAAGAAAGCCACAGATTGATATAAAATATTCACACATTGTATATCTTATGAAGGATCTATAGCCAAAATATTAAGAACTCTCAGAACTCAATAATAAGAGAGGAAACCACTCAATAAAAGAGGACAAAAAATCTTATCAGGCACTTTATCAGAGAAGATAGGCAGGTGGAACTTAAGCAAATGGAAAGATACTCAAATTAAACAGTCATTAGGAAACGCAAAATAAAATAATGATTTACCACTACAAATCTATTAGAATGGCTAAAATTTAGAAGGCTGACCATAAGAAGTGTTGGCAAAGATGTGGAGAAACTGGTGACAATGCCAAATGGCACAATTAGTGTGGAAAACAGTTTGTCAGTTTCTTAAGAAGTTAAATATTCCTTTATTGTATGATTCAGCCATTTTACTTGTAGGTGTTTATCCAAGAAAAATGAGGGCATGTGTCTATACAAATACTTGCCCATGAATGTTCACAGCAGCTTTATTTCTAATAGCCGAAATTTGGAAACAATCCAAATGTCCATCAACAGGTGAATGCATTAAAAAGGTGGTATTTCCATGCTATGTATTAGTACTCAGCGATACAAATAAACTATTGACACCACATGGATGAATCTCAAAATAATTATCTTACATGAAAAGAGCCAGACAGAAAATGAATACATATATATGATTCTATTTATATGAAATTGTAGAAAATACACACTAATTCATAGTGACAGAAAACACTTCAGGATTTGTATTGGAATGTGGACATGGATGTGATTTAGAAGGGGGCAGTAAAGAAGCCTTACAAAGAGGCCTGAGGAAAGTTTGAAGCGTAGTGGCTATGTGTGTTATCTTGATGTGATCATTTTGTGGATATATACATGTTTCAAAACTTCTCAAATTGTATACTTTATGTGCAGTTTACTGTACGTTAATCATATCTCAATAAAACTCTTAAAATCATGAGTATATTGGTTATCTTCTTTATGAATTGCCTATATGCATATTTTCAAAGCACAATGTGTATAGATTTTTATAAATCTTTTTTTTTTCTATTTTGTTTATTCTGCTTATTTTTAAAAGTAAAATTTTGGCCGGGGACAGTGGCTCATGTCTGTAATCCCAGTGCTTTGGGAGGCCGAGGCAGGTGGATCACAAGGTCAGGAGATCGAGACCAGCCTGGCCGATATGGTGAAACCCCAACTCTACTAAAAATACAAAAAAAATTAGCCAGGCGTGGTGGTGCATGCCTGTAATCCCAGCTACTTGGGAGGCTGAGGCAGGAGAATTGCTTGAACCCAGGAGGCGGAGGTTGCAGGGAGCAGAGATTGTGCCACTGTACTCCAGCCTGGGTGACAGTGAGACTCCATCTGAAAAAAAAAAAAAGTAAAATTTTATGTCTGTTGATTCTAATAATGAAAAATTAGGACTTGTATTTTGAATGTCTTGTTTTTTCTCATTTTGTTAGTAATTACCTTTTTCTGTAATTCACAGACATATCAGTTTGAAATGCATTGAAAATTAAAACAAAGAGCACAAACTATAGATTGAAAAACACTGCTGTAGCATAATTGCTCTCTATTGATCAGAATTGTGTCTGCAAGAGAGTCTGAAAAAGGAAGAGGAGCAACCAACTCCTTTCACAATATCTGGGGTCACAGCATCAAAGTGGGTGTGGCCCAGAATGATGAAATAAGGACTTTGAATATCCATTGCTTTGTTAATTTAAAAAAATCCAATAACTTCGGCAAAAATTGTCAAAATCAGCTTTTTCAGAACTCTGGAAATTAATAAAAGGCTTACAACTTTGCAAGGTATGTTTATTCAAGAAGAACAGCTAACTATCATAAGAATGGTCAGTTTTGTGGCATTTTAACTCACACTATTCCCATTCTCCTCTCCCCACTTCCATGGTTGTCTTGAAAACCAGCAGCCACTATAGAGGGGAACACAATGGATTTGAAGTTTCTCAAAAAGTTCCATCATGAGAGTATTGTCACTATTAGACCTAACAGCTTCTGGGAAAATCCCCAATGGAGCATTTGTTATTTGGCCTGACTCAGAGCTCACTCAGTAGGAAAAGCCCTATCCCCAAGGCATTTGTCAAAAACAATCAATGGCAATTGTTCAACATCTCAACTGCCTGAAGTGATGTTACCAGTTGGCACAAACAAGAGACCGGCCAAAAAAAAATTAAAAGAAAGACGTGAGAAATAAAACATTCATAAGGGTTTTGAAAAACTCTTCCGTATTCCAGGGATCTAGAAAGTTATGCATCTTTGTAGGGCTGTGTACATGCCTACAAAATATCTGAGAAGGCCCCAACCTCTCACCTCTAGCTGACCTTGAGGCCCCATGAAAACAGAAAATGAAGATCTAAACTGTTATTGCATTGAATATGTGCCCCCAACACACAGAGAAAATACCCTTAACAAAGGGTGGAAGGCTTATTGTTTAAGAAATTTATTAAAATCACTGTTCAATCAGTAAGCTAATTGAGCAGAGACTTAAGTGGCCATATATGACAAGGAATGCAGACTTTTCAGAATTAGTCCAAGAAAGCACTAAACAGATATTATCATCAACAGCAATAACAACAAATCCTGAGGAGGGAGAAATCTGATTTTCAGAGTAACCACATTATATTATTTAAAATGTTACTGTTTCAACAAAAAACCATAAAACACTGAAAGAAAAAGGGAAGTATGACTCATATAAAGGAACAAAGTAACCAATAGAAATTATCCGTAAGGAAGTCAGACTTGGGGACTTACTAGAAAGCTATTATAAATGTATTCAAAGAGCTAAAGAAAACCATGTCTAAAGAATTAAAGGAAAATGTGAGAATTATTTCTTGCCAAACAGAACATATTAATAAAGAGATAGTGACCAGGCGCAGTGGCTCACGCCTGTAATCCCAGCACTTTGGGAGGCTGAGGTGGGCGGATCATGAGGTCAGGAGATCGAGACCATCCTGGCTAACACGGTGAAACCCTGTCTCTACTAAAAATACAAAAAATTAGCTGGGCATGGTGGCAGGTGTCTGTAGTCCCAGCTACTCGGGAGGCTGAGGCAGGAGAATGGCATGAACCCAGGAGGCAGAGCTTGCAGTGAGCCGAGATCAGAGCTTGCAGTGAGCCAAGATTGCGCCACTGCACTGCACCCTGGGTGACAGAGCGAGACTCCATCAAAAAAAAAAAAGAGAGAGAGATAGAAATTATTTTTTAAAATTGGTCATTCTGGAACTGAGAAGTTACAATAGCTGAAGTGAAAATTTAATGAGATGGGCTCAACAGCAGATCTGAATTGGTGGCAGAACATATCAGCAAACTGGAAAATAGATCAACTGAGATTATCCAGTCTGAGGAACAGAAGGAAAAATGAATGAAGAAAAATGAACAGAGCCTCAGATATCTGTGGAGATTGTTCAAGCATGCCAACATATGCTTAATGGGAGCCCGACCTGAGAGAGAGAGAGAGAGAGAGAGAGAAAGAGAGAGAGAGAGTGAAGAGAGAGAGAAGAAGAAATAATAAAGAAATAATAGCCAAGAACTTCTAAAATTTGATGGAAAACATTAAGATACTCAAAAGACTTCATGTAGAATAAACTCAAAGAGATCCACACCTAGGAACATCACAATCAAGCTGCCAAAAGACAAAGACAAAGAATCTGGAATGCAGCAAGAGAAGGCAAGCAACTCATCACATACAAGTGATCCTCAATAAGGTTAACAGCTGACTTATTTTCAGAAACCACAGAGTCTAGAAAGCAGTGAAATGGCATATTCAAAGTGCTGAAGGAAAAAGACTGTCAACCAAGAATTCTACATCTGGTGATCTGTATATCAGAAAGAGTAAAACATTCCAAGATGAACAAAAATTGAGAGTATATATTACTAGCCAAGCTTCCCTACAAGAAATAATAAAGAGAATCCTTCAGGCTGAAATGAAAAGACACCAGACAGTAACTCAAATTTATATGAAGAAATAAAGAACACCAGTAGAGGTACATAGGTAAATATACTGTCTCCTGATTTAAAAGACAGCTGTGTAAAGTGATAATTATAAAACTATGTTAATGGGCTTATAGTGTATAAAAACATATTAATAGTTTGCTTGATAATAAGAACATAAAAGAGAGAGTTGACATAGAGCTATTTGGTGCAAAGCTTTATTTATTATTAAAATTAAGTTGATGTTAATCTAAAATAGATTGTTGTAAGTCAAGGTGTTAATTGTAATCACCAGAAAAACCTCTAAGAAAATAATTCAGAAAATGTAGCTAAAACTGGCCAGGCATGGTGGCTCACACCTGTAATCCCAGCACGTTGGGAGGTTGAGGTGGGCGGATCACCTGAGGTCAGGAGTTCGAGATCAGCCTGGCCAACATGGTGAAATCCCATCTCTACTAAAAATACAAAGATTAGCTGGATGTGGTGGTGCACAGCTGTAACCCCAGCTATTCAGGAGGCTGAGGCAGGAGAATTGCTTGAACCTGGGAGGCGGATGTTGCAGTAAGCTGAGATCATGCCACTGCACTCCATCCTGGGTGACAGAGTGAGACTCTGTCTCAGAAAAAAAAGAAAAGAAAAATGTAGCTAAAACTTTGAGAAACCAAAATGGTGCACTAAAAAAAAAAAAAAAAAATCTGTTTAATAAAAAATGAAATAGTAATAGAGAAATAGAGGATGGAAATGTTATGACATATGGAAAACAAATAGTCAAATAACAGATGTATATCCTGCTTTATCAGTACTGACATTAAATGCAAATGTGTTCAATACTCCAATTAGAAGGTGGATATTGGCAGAATGACATTTAAAAAATATGATTACCTATATGCTGTCTGGAAGTGACAAACTTTAGATTAAAAGTCAGTTTGCATGAAAAAATATACATACAAACAGTAACCCAAAGAAAACTGGAGTGGCTATGCCATTATTAGACAAAATAGACTTTAAGACAAAAACTTTTGCTAGAAAAACAAAGGACTTTTCTTAATCATAAAAGGGTCAATCCATCAGGAAGATAACAATTATAATTTATATATGCATAACAATAAAATTCCTAAATACATGAAGCAAAAACATACAGAATTGAAAGGAGAAACAATTCACAATAACAGTTGGCGAGTTCAACACACCACTTTCAATAATAAATAAAACAAATAGAAGATCAACATGAAAACAGAAGAATTAAACAGTACTTCAAACAAACTACACTTAACAAGCATCTGTAGAACACCA
This sequence comes from Homo sapiens, assembly GCF_000001405.40. Taxonomy (NCBI): domain Eukaryota; kingdom Metazoa; phylum Chordata; class Mammalia; order Primates; family Hominidae; genus Homo; species Homo sapiens. Next base: position 2,655,334 of record NC_000006.12, read on the forward strand.
CATCCAATAGCAGCAGAATACACATTTGTCTCAAGCCTACAAGCAACACTCTCCAGGACAGTTCACATGTTAGGCCAGAAAACAAGCCTCGATAAATTTAAAAGGATTGAAATTATAGAAATTATGTTCTCTGATCACAAAGCCATTAAACTAGAAATCAATAACAGTAGGAAATTAGGAAAACTCACAAACGTGGAAATTAAGCAATGCACTCCTAAATAACCGAGGAGCCAAAAAAGAAATCACAAGGAAATTAGAAAATACTTTGAGATGAATGAAAATAAAAACAAAATATGTCAAAACTTACAGGATGCAGCTAAAGCAGTGGTTAAAGGGAAACTTCTATCTGTAAACACACGTACTGGAAATGAGTGTGGTTACCATTATGGAAGTAACTTGCAAGTTACATCTGTTCAATTGTACTACTATATCTGAAAACTTTTTTGGAAATTTTCCAGAATAATTTTTAGGGTAGCCATTATAGTTTTAAAAACATCTTGAATGATGGTAGTTCTTTACATTTGAATGTTGTATGTAATTTTTGAAAGCATAAGTAATTTGAAGATGCATTAGTGAATAAGGTGATTAGTGAGGCTCATGATCCCATTGTTGGGCTAAACACTAAGAGTGGTCATTAAATAAATTATACGGATTTCCAAAGAGGCGTTTACAAAACAGAACACAGGGTGGTTCCTGTAGAGGAATTTCAAATATGTGTGAAGTAGAGAAAACATAATCGGATTAAGTACCTAGCCATCAAGGATGACTATTTTGAGTACAAGTCATTCAAATGTATAGGTTTTAGGCATATTTCAAAGTAAGTATCTTCAAAATCTCATTGTTTCCAGGTGGTTATCATTATATCAGCCTCTATTGCAATAAACAGAAATTGGAAATGATGAGTAGGCAAGAATTGGTCTAGGAGTTTGGCCCTTTAATTCAAGTTTATATTGATTAAATCAGTTTCTATTTGATCTTAATTGAATTTTTCTCCACAGTTTTAACAGTAGACCTTCTATTCATAAGTGTAGGTATGTATGTGTATGTGCATAAGTTCATACAAGAAATACAATAAACTTTTTAAAGACAGAGAATCCATGTACCATATATACCCTCTAAGCCTGATTTTTTTTTTTTTTTTTTTGCTTCCCTAGGTGTCTCTGTACTATTACTACACAATAGGTAGCAATCACTAATAAAAATGACTGTTAAGTTCCTATGCAATATAAACTACTGTATAAAGGCTAAGCAATAAACGATTTACTACTTACTCTGAGCAAATGGAAACCTCATTTTGCCAATATAAACAAGACCTCCTCTTATCCTATACTTTATAGCGGTATTATTGTGAAAATCACAAGTCCCAATAGATTGTCACAACAGGAACAAGCATTATCTGATTTGTTCCTCTTTATGGTATTAACAATGTTCTAATGTTGTGAAGCACCTTAACCGAGCAACATCTGATGTTTTAAAAAACATTTGGATGTTAGCCACATTTGTAAGACAGCACAGCCTAGAGTGATAGAACTGTTGAGTGAGGCAGAAGGAAAGTGAAAACTGTTGCAGCAGAAGAGTGACCCAGACCGTGGAATCTGACTTAAGGGAAGTTGGCAGAAGGTAGGTTTGGCAGGGTAGCGAAAACCATGTTTCATCTTGGAAATCTGTGAGCTACTGCACACAAGACAAGCTGCTAAGTTAATCATGAAACAATAAGATTTGGGACAAATAGGAAGGTGAAAGAATTTTTTTTTAAACTATTTTAAAAGCATTTCTAAAAGCAGACCATACATGATCTTTTGAAACCTTAGGAATACTTCATCATTTTTTGAAATATAAAGTTCAATTTTATTAAACATATGGGTTAGCTTGAAATTATCCAGAATATTAAAATTAATTTGAAAATAATTAAAATTCAGAAAAACTTCAGGTGTGCGTCCAAGTTCTGGGTAGTATTAATATGATATGAAAATTGCTGAGAAAATTTACTGTGAACAGGTGTGTGAAATAATTGAGGGGGGGGGAAAGTTCAGACATTAATTAGCAAGAATTATGAATTTTCATGTTAGGTTGTTCTCAAGTTGATGTATTTTAAAGCATATGTATATAAAGGAACTATTTTAAAATTGTGGATACACATGGAAAACAAAACATTATTCATAACATTCTGTACTTTTGTTATCAATCACCTGATGAGACGTGGAAAGAACAAAAATGTCTAAATCAAAAGAAAAAATAATTCTAAACAGTTTGGAAGTTTATTCAATAAGTCTTGCTAGTAGTGTTGAAATGTTCTCATTTCAAATTCAGCAAAATAAAGATATGCACTCAAAGAATGTCTCTGTTGAGACTTGGGGGGAAAACGGATGAATATGCCAAAAATAATACCCCAATTTCTGTACTCAAAGAATTTATGGTGGGGAGGGAAGCCAGGACAAAATTAAAAAGCATAATGTTAGAAAATAATGTGACAAATGCTATTAAAGTAACCTATATTAATAGGAGATGGATAAGGACATCAGGACTTTACCCCGGGTTGGGAAGGATGGTGCGATTTTGGTGTTTGTCAGGTAAGATTAGTGGAAAATATTTTAGACAAAGAGAAGAGGATGTATAAAGCTTGAGAATTATAAACAAGACTATTGTACTGATGTTGTCAGGATTTGACAATACTCAGAAGAGTACCACCATAACAAAAACCTAAAAGGTGGGAGAGACATTGGAACTAGGCTGTGGAAATAAGCTGGAAAGACTTTGAGAAAAGTATTAGTGAAAGCTTGAAGAGGCTTGAAGAGTGTTTCATGACATCTTAATGATCTTTGAGGAGGTTGTGAGTGAGAGTTTGAAGAAAAGTAAAGAAAATTTTATTTGAAACTGCAGAAAAAAGATTTTTGTTATATTGGTGGTAGAAAGTTTAGCAACACTGTCATCTGCAATAATAGAGAAAGTAGAAAATTTACCTAATTAATTGTGTGATCTAACTAAGGATGTTTCCAGAGAGTGCTGAAACTCTTCCAGGTTTCTTTTTGCTGCTTATAATAAAATGTGAGAAGAAAGAGATAAACTAAAGGAAGGACTTTTAAAGAAAAAATATATTTAAAAAAAATTCCAACCTCTAGGGACAACAAATGATGGTACAATTAAGAAATGACTTCCAGGTAAAGATCAAATCCAGGACACGCTAAAGAAAACATGGTCTAAACATGAAGCCAAGAATTTAAAATTATTTGTTAAGACTTCAGAAATATTCAAGACAGTGCATTAGAGAATTATTCAGTCAAACAATAGGGCTTCCAAGGTGTTTAAGGGTGTTGGCCCTCAACAGGCCCAGCAGAAGTCCAAGGTAAAGAAGAGCTTATCTTGAATGGTGAGTGCAGTCCTTCTCTAATGAAGTGAACCTCAGTAAAATTCGCAGGAGGTCTAGAAAGTTTTGATTTACATTGCTTGAAGCACCACCAGTTTGGACTGACACAGGCAACAACCACAAAGAGAAAAGAGGCCTTTGTCCTCCCAAACTATTCCACCAGCAGGAAGTAAGTTGAGAAACCTACACTGCCACATGCAGAGACTAGCCTTCATGGAAAAGGGAGAATGACTCAGAAGGTGAAAGCGAGAGTCCAGAGGGTGGATCCAGGAGTGGGTGACCGTGCCTTGCATGGAGAAGGACATGTGTCATTGGGGAGCTGGGGATAGACAATGATCACTGACCTACAAAGTAGTCCCCAGTGATTCTCACTTCCTGTTTTTCGTACCTTGTATAGTCCCCTCCCACACTGAATAGGGCATCATGGAAATCAGAGAGTGTGACGGCTGCTTGGGGTTAGGACATAAAAACGTGGAGATTCCTGTCTTACTCTCTCCTCGATCACTCATTCTGAGAAGCCAGCTGTCACACGATCAGCCCTATGGAGAGGTCCACCTGGTGAGGAAGGGAGGCCTCCTGCCAACCACCTCAGCATCAATTTGCCAGCTATGCAAGCGAGCCATCTGGGAAATGGATCCTCCTGTCTCAGTCACGGTCTTTGTTGGCACTAGTTGTGATAAAGAGAAATAACACTACAAATTGTTCCGAAGCCTTTGTTAGTGCCTGAATATTCTAAAGGCATTCAAATCCGAAATTTCAGCAGTCATGGTGTCCGAAAAGATCCACATCTGTAGGCCAACTTGGGCTAGGGATGCCGTATTAGGACCCTGCTGGAGGCCTAGGACATCATTCCTGTGTCTTTAGTGTGGAGCAGGATGGGAAACATCTGGCAAATGACATTGAAAAGTAAGGCCAGCTGCATGAACAGGCATCTTAAACATGACGCTAAGAAATTCAACATTTTTTGAGCCTAAGTTTCTGACCTTTAAAGTTATCTGATTAGATTTGTCTTTTAAAAATAAAAAGATCATCAGTGTGGAGGAGACTGGAGAAGAAAAACACAGCAGTCCAGTACACCAATGATGAAGTCCAGTGAGATCTATGAAGTATGAGTGTATCCCAGCCAGGGCCCCCAACAACGAAATGGGGGATGAGGGATGGAGAAGAAGGAGCCAGACGGTTACTTGAGGAGGGTATTTGCTCATCACTAGTTCAGCTCTCCACAGAAAATCGTGAGATCTTAGTTTTAAGAGAAATGGGAACTCAGAAGGGCCAGTCCTCTGGAAGGGATGGGCATGGCCCTAGATCCTTCCTTGCTGCTTCATAGCTGCTTGAGGGGCCTGCATCATCAGACTGTTAAGAATGACAGCAAGTGCTCGTATGGAATGGTTCTGTGGTGACTCATGGGTGCCAGCTGACTCTAGAAAGCAGACAGGCACTATAGGTAAAGGGCAGGGATTCAGACAGGCCTGATGGGCTTTCTGAGATGTGTATTTTGGGGGAACAAGCCTTCACGGGAGTGAAAGAAGAGCAAAGAGATGTGTGGCCCATTCTCAGGGACTTGTGTGTTCCTCAACCCGCTACCTGAGGGGCCAAAGGCAGAGCTGAAGAGCTTTTTTCAGGAAGGATTGTGCGAGGTGCTGTGGCAAACAGGATGAGTTTGTCCATGGTTTGTTATAAAATGCTCTGGCACAGAAGTTAGTTAGCATTTAAAGAATGTCAACTTCATCAAGAAGGTACACTCCAGCAGCTGGTAGGTAGCATCTAAAATTAGCATAAGCAGACTGGGTTTTACAATCTCATCTTCTCTCCTTATGTCTAACACTGGAAAATTATAAAAAATAAGTTTTTTAAAATTTGTGAAATATTAATAGAGTTTAAAGTGTTTGAATGCACTAGAAATGTTGTACAGATACCTGCACCCTGAAATGAATAATAAAAATGTAATAATAATAATAACATAATTTTAATATAATAAGAATCTGGCAAGCTCGGGAGCCTATGGTCTTGGGAGAGGTCCCAGGCCTTAGAATTCCATGGAGTCCTATGTCCAGCCATTTATAGGGGATGCTGTCATCTGATCCTACTAGACAGGTAGCTGGACTTTGTGATCAGAATTGCAAGCTTCACTCAGAACAGATATTGCCAGAGCTGTGTCACCTGGAGCTTATTAAAAAGGAAGAGTCTGAGGCCCCGCCCAGAACTTCTGAATCAGAATCTTTTCATTAGCAAGATCCACAGGTGATTCTTACGCACATTGAAGTGTGAGAGACTGTTCCTGTGGGTAAAGGGCATGAGCTTTCGGGTCAGACTCACCGGATGAAAATTGCAGTTCCTCTACTGATTTGCTATATGTCCTTGGGTCTGTTACTCAACTTCACTATCAGGGGCTTATTTGTAAATTGGGTTTAACTGTCTCGCTGGCTTGTTAGTATTAAAGGAGGTAACATGGAGAAAGAGCTTAGAAACATAGTAAAGTACTTAAACATCAGTAGCTATTAGTGATTTGATAAATAATATCCTAGTATAATTTAGTAGAATATGAAAAGAGAGTGTAGGATATCATCAGGACTGACCCAGCCATGAACTGTGAACTGGTGACTGAGAAAAACATGGTCTCCTGAGTGCACAAGGCAGGAGTCAACCTTTCATGCAAGATGCTGTCAGAGGGGGCTAAAAGGCCAGAGAGCGGAGGCTTCACTAGGCTCCCCCAACAGTTTGTCTAACTGTGGCTGTCCTGACTACTCATCATTTGGGTGTGTGGCAGAAGTCAGCCTGGCAGAATTCAACCTTGCCCTCATTGTACCAAACACCACCTAGCAGGCAGATGGTGGGGGCTGGGGGGAGATCTGTTGCCTTCACTTCCCATGGCTCCGGAGAAGATTCTAATAGTTGTGATAGACAGTTGACCTGAGTCTGTCTGAGCAAGGCTGAGTGGTGGGCACCTCTGCGCTTCTGCCTGGCTTATGCATGCAGCATTAGCCTGACAGGGACTCCAGGAAATACAGCATCGCTGCTCCCTTGAGGGCCAGCCTCTTGGGGGATGCCAGGAAGCTGCACCCTTGTCGGGGGGGGCTGTGTCTGTCAGGGTGGACTGGGAAAGTGGCCAGGGAGGTGCCCAGGGGGTGGGAGTGTATCCTGCCAGAAGAGCCCATTCTCTCTGACACACTGGATGCTAGACTTGTATTAGAATATTTTGGAGGTCTCTAGTAATAACCATGTGAGCTCTGAGGTCCTGAGCCAGCCAAATTCAGATGAGTATCTTTCATGAGATCCTATGTCCCCACAGTGCTGTTTGGAGAGCGCTGATTACAAGCTCTCAGGGAAACCCTAAATTAGGAGTGGGAGAGAGGAATGACTGAAGGGCGAGGACCGAGAACCAGTCTTCCTAATGGCTCCGGATCATGGGGTGGGACTGGTGTCCCCTTTCCAAATGGGGAGTGGGGAGGCGAGTGGTGAAGGGGTTCAGCGCCTCCCTCTGTGGGCATGGTGAGGGAGACCCCCTGCAATGCACCTTACCCCGGGAGAGGCCAAGAAGGGCCAGGGAGGAAGAAGATGGCTGACCCTTCTCTCTGAGTCGCAGGCTCTGAAACTCCAGCACTGAGAATCTGTTCCCGAGAAAGGGTGTGGTCATCTGCTAGAACTGCACCAATAATGGAGGGAGGGCCAAGAAGGTTTCCTCACTTTGGGGAAGATGTCAGAATGCCTCACCTAGAAGTTTGAGTGGGAAAAGACTAGATTCAAGACGAGATTGCTTCATGTGAGAACACAAAGCTCCATCCCTCCCCACTGCTTGCAACATGGGCAATGGAAAATCCAGTGGGCCTGCCTCAAGCCCCACCAGGGTGGGGGGTCTTGTTGCCGCTGGGAGAGCTGACCACTGCTGGGCTGAGAGAGGAGCGTTGGCCTAGATCCAGGTGTCAACCACAGACTCACATGCAGGCCTGGGACAGAACAGTCCCGTCTCCAGACAAGAAACAGGCCCAGAAAGTGATCCTGTGGCCTGTGGTGGCCGCTTTATACTGAGGTCCTTCAGTGTTGGGACTTTGGAAGCAGACACTTTTCAGTGCTTAAGGAATAATCACTAACGGACATGAATAGGGTTGAATTGCTACTAATTGCCTTAATAATTTATTAAACACCCTCTGAAACTAGACACTTTACATAAATCTCAGTCAATATTTTTGTATTAATAGGGGAAAAAAAACACCCTGAACCTTGTCTTGGTACATTGGAACCACCATGTTTTCAAATGGGAGAGTTGTTTTTCCCCGACGTGGCTGGCCAGTGTCACCGTGGACTGCGCTGGGGCCCCTATAAGTGTGAGGCTCTTTTAGGTAGCTTGGGTTCTGAATGTCACAGGAATTGACATGTTAGACCTGAAGTAAAGGAGTTTGCATTGTATTTGCCAAGTCCACGTCTGATATGGTTTGGCTCTGTGTCCCTGCCCAATCTCATGTTGAATTGTAATCCCCATTGTCGGAGGAGGGGCCTGGTGGGAGGTGACTGCATCATGGGGGTGGATTTCCCCCTTACTGTTCTTGTGATGAGTGAGTTCTCACGAGATCTGGTGGTTTCAAAGTGTGTCATGAGTGAGTTCTCACGAGATCTGGTGGTTTGAAAGTGTGTAATGAGTGAGTTCTCATGAGATCTGGTGGTTTGAAAGTGTGCAGCACCTCCCCCTTCGCTGTCTGTCTCTCTCTCTCTCTCTTCTGCTCTGGCCATGTGAAGACAGTGCCTGCTTCCCCTTCACCTTCTTCTATGGAGTTGCAAGTTTCCTGAGGCCTCCTCAGAAGCAGAAGCCTGGACAGCTGGCAGAACCATGAGCCGATTAAACTTCTTTTCTTCATAAATTACCCAATCTCAGGTAGTTCTTCATAGCAATGCGAGAACAGACTACTGCAATGTCTTTGAATGATTGAGCCCATTAATCAAAAGATAAATAAGGTCCATGTTTATTCTTCAATATAATACATATACATGATTGTTATACATCTTTAGAAAGCAAAGAAAAACAGCTAAATGAAAGTACGTTCAGAAATTTAAAATATACATGATAGACACAATCACCACGTTATGAATCCTTTTTTTAATTTCTTATCAACACCAATAAACCTAGTCAGAAAGACTCACTGACATCTATCAGCTGAGACGACAGCAAAATACACATTAGGTAACATATGAACGCTCACACAGCAGATGCTTTCTGCTCTTCTGAATGGGTAGTAGTGGTTGAGTTATAAGCCTTCATGGAAGGTGAAACTGCCCATAGAAAGACCACTTATACAAAGCACAGCGCACTAAAATGGAGCAAAAAGAAATATAGAACACTTCTAACTGAGAAACTGCAGACTCCAAGCTATGTGAGGAAGTCATCTTAATCCAGGAACCCAATATCTAATAAATCCAGCACCCACTTCCCTTTAGGACAGACGGAAAGTTGCCTCCTGGTAAGAAAATTTCTTAATCTCAAAAAGGCTTTCAGGGAGCATGGTGATGGATAAGAAGACAAACTTGGATCCGAACTTAAGAAAAAGGAAAGAAGTAAAAAAATGTAAAAGAGAGTGCAAAAGCAAAGGCGAAGCTTTGTGGATATTGGGAAGTAGGCCGTGGTGATGCTGCAGCACACAGGGATGACAGGACGGCCAGGGGACAGGAAAGAACCGAGTCCGAGGACCACAGCCCTCCAGGGGCCTGATGCTGCCTCTCACTTGTGCTTTTACAAGCGGACTTTCAACCGGGGTTCTGTCATTTGGCCCCCAGCACACGCATGCACACTGGCACCCGTGCTGCGTGGCTGGGGGAGGGGCAGAGGAAGCAGAAGAGACAAAAAAGGAATGAAATAAAGAGCAGATTCTGTTCCTAGTATCAAATCCATATTTTGATTCTTAAAAGAGAAAAAAAAATTGCTAAGCTAATTTCCATAAAATGGATAAAAATTAAGTATTCACACATCTTTCCAAACATACATCAAAGCAAGCCACAACAATGGCAACATGCCTACTTACATTTTTGAGGAAAGAAAGCAAATTAATATCAAGTTAGAGGAAATAACTGAAAACAAACTTATGGCACTCAACAGACATGAGTGTTACCAGCTTCAACCTAGAAATTGTTTCCCCAAGTTAGTTCAGATGAGAGTCTCGTCCAAAGTTTGTAATGTAGCAAATGGGGACATGTGCCCTCCTCTCCCTGATTTTTAAATAGCAACAGATTCTGGGTAAGTGTTGGTGTCTTCCAAATTACCAATGAGGCATGCCTTCTCCTTAATAACTTGCGAGGTTTATTTCTCTCCAGGCAGTGGGAAGTGCTACATCGGTGCTTAATTTCCTCCATTTGCTAAAGAAAGTGGGAACTGCCTAGTGAGTGAGCAAAGCCATACCATCCATTAAGAGGGTGGAGGAGAAATACAGCCTCCCAAATCCTAATGACCTGTTGGAAAAATTGATCTCCATAGCCCTGGTCTAGCCAGACTCAGCTTTTCTGAGTCCATGCTCGCATCTGGCTTGATTCCTCGGCTTTGCAAAGCCCCCTTTCCCCATTAGAGCAGCAGTCTACCTAGTTACCAGCTCTCGCTGGAGCAGCCACACAAGGACATGGAGCAGGGGCGGGATGAACACTAGACTGATAATCTCCCATTTCAAGTAACTCTAGACTGTAATCATGAACTCTGCAATGCAAACTACCCTCAGCACTCATATAAAAGGCACCCTGCTGGCATGGAGATGCCTTCCCATTCCAAATGTGGAAATTTAACTACAGAATCAAACAAGATCCATTTTCAAAGTACAGTCTCCTTTCTAAACCTCAAAACAAAACAAAAATCACACCCACTCACTGCAGGGTCATCAGTGCATTAACTTGGCAAAGAAATCATGCCTGTATTTGGCCTGAGCTGTCTCTTCCATGTGTGGCAGGGTCTGGGGACAGTTTATCTGCCAACCTGAGTCAGAAGGGAAGGTGGATGCAAATTGCACGTCGTGCAAAAGATCTCCTGCTTGATTTGGTAGAGAATGCACACCACAGGACAGAAAACGCCCTGCCACGAGGGGCTTCAAATCAGACCCCTGTGTCCTGTTTAGCATTTGAGTGAATGCCAGCTCTCTGCGGTCTAACTAAGTATTAATGCATGCACTGGCTTGTATTTTTCCAGGCTCAATGAATATCATCAGCTAAAGATAGCATAGTAATATAACACTCCAGTCACAGGGTTTTGTGTGTGTGTGTGTGTGTGGTGTGTGTGTTTTAAGCAAACTAAATTAAACACTTAAGCATAGTCACATCACAGGAACATAAGAAACCAACCTCGGATAAATGCAAGGCCAAAGGAGAAAAAGAAACGCATCATAATGTAAGAGCAAAGGCTGGAAAGGAGTCAGTTTTATAACTAACACGACCACAAAATTCGCATGTGGCCTTCACCAAATCACGTATTTCCTTCTATCTCTACTTCCTCCTTACCTTAAAGATGAGAATAAGGATGTTGCACACATTCACGGCATGCTGTAAGGATTCCTTAAGTGGATCTGAGAGATAATGGGGGAAAGCTGATGCAAAGTGAAACTGCCATCCCTCATGAGGCCACCAAGTAATTCTTATGCCTTTCATTGCTATTGCGACAACAGTAATTGAGACCATTCTGGCCAACATGGAGAAACCCCATCTCTACTAAAAATGCAAAAATCAGCCGTGCGTGGTGGCGTGCGCCTGTAATCCCAGCTACTCGGGAGGCTGCAGGAGAATCGCTTGAACCTGGGAGGCGGAGGTTGCAGTGAGCCGAGATGGGGCCACTGCACTCCAGCCTCGTGACAGAGCGAGACTCCGTCTAAAAAAAAAAAACAAAGAATAAAGGCATTAACACAGCTGATTCAACACAACAGTTATTTGGAAATGGAAAATGTGAGAAAGCTCATGAATCTGGTTGGTGAGCTTGGAGTTCAGCGGGTAACAGGAATTTTGTGGGGCTTTTCCTTGCCTCTCCTTCATGTGGAAATGACACACTCATTTCGCTCTTTAAAGCCCAGTGCCTTTCTGGGCCCCATAAGCTGTCTACAGTAGGGCCATTTCCTTTCTTACATATCTGCCATGAAATGGCACACAGGCTAGGCATAGGAACCTTCCAACTGGAACGTTCCAACATTCTCACGTCCAGCAGGTGAGCTTGCAGAGTTGCCCCCACCTCTGGTGTCCGATTGAGATTTCTTCACCACCATTGAGTCCCATGAGACAGCACAGGCGAGAGACTGTACTTGGTCTTTGCCACTGTTTGTATGTGTTTACCCAGAAGCTTGAATGTTATTTCCCAAGTCACTTCAATGTTGAAAGCTCAGTGCTATCTTGCTCCAGGAGGTGCAGATCCGTCTCTTTTAGTTGACAAATGGGGCTTGAGGAAACCTGTTGTGACTGTTGACATTATTTCAAAGGTCAGAATTTCAAAGTCCAACCATAAACAGATACTTTTTGCATCACCTCTCAAAACCAATGTGTTTTGTGGGGATGAACTGTCAGTCAGAAGGGTGCAGGGAGTATAGATGTGAAAAACAGAATCAGCTACATGGAAGAAAACGCACGCTGGGGACAATTCAGAATAAATGAAAGACACAGTGGCTGATGCCTCTTGTTGGAGAATTCAAAGACGGCTTCTGTTCCAGCAAACAAATTATTTATCCATTGTAGTCACGTGACCACAGACCAAATCAAAATGACAGAGTCTGTGAAACTAAGTCTCCAAGGGTGCATGGGAGTCAGAATTCTTTCTGGCCATCTAATTGCCCCTTCCAAAGGCATAGTCTAATGGCTGGAAGTAGCTTTCTCCCTCTAAATGCATCCTCCAGTTTTAAAATCTCCAATCAATCTTAAGTGTCACAGCTGTAGTCATTTGAGAAATGGCAGACATAATGCACCCCCTGCCCCAGTGACTAAGATCAAAAAATTTTTTTAAAAAAGTAAAAAATCTCAAGATGGCAGGGAAACATCTTCCCAACATCACCACCACCGGGTGCAGGGATGTGTTTGCGCCCTGAGACCAGACCGCAGCGCTGGGTGTTCCTCTGAGCGCAGCAGAGGCACTCCAGTTCAAGTTCACATTCAGGGTCGAGGGCTCCCCCTGCTAAGACTACCAGGTCATCACAGGGGTCAAGGCATCAGAACTGCTGATTTTTCAAAAAATTTTCTCGAAGCAGCAGCAACCACAGCAGTTTTCCTGCAAAGCAAACAAAATATGAATCTTGTTAATTCAGCAGGGTTTTTAAAATTATAATTAGTTGGTTGTGCCCCTTAGGAAAACCACAGATGATTTTTTTTAATAACATATGTGTGTATATGAGCGGGGGAAAAAAAAAAGAAACCTCTTGATGGATTCCACCACCAACCAGAGTTGGGCTTTTTATTTTTCAGTTTGTGCAAGACATTTTTTTTTTCTTTCCAACTTTTATTTTAGGTTCAAGGGGTACATGTGCAGGTTTGTTACATGGGGACATGTGTGCAAGATATTTTAGTACTATTTGCAATATTGAAGGACAAGGCCTCTTTGTTTCGTCTGAAGTACAGCCACTCCGTCCATCTGGTCAGCTTGATCCCAGCATCAAAGTGAGAATGTGGCCTCAGGTGTGGGGAGGTTTCCATGTGCTTTATGACCACGTCTGACCTGGGGCCCGCACACGGCTACCTGCCATCATTCCTGTGGCTCTGAGGAGTACCCTAAATTTATATCCCATAAGTTGGCAAAAGATATAACAGAGGTAACCAGAAACAAAATGCCACCAGGTTGATTTTGGGAATGTTTCCTCTAACAAATTGTAGGAGACATATATGCCTCAGTTGACATTGTGAATTATGCCTTATTTATCGGCCTGGAACTCTTTCTTTTACAACAGGAATAATCTTCAGCCACCAGATTTTTAAAATCAATATTATCTCAAATTTGGTTTCCATCATAATACATCCTGCCATAAACCCATCTCATCCTGGCAGGGAATATTATCGTGAAGAATAATCTTTTTTTTCCTAACTTCTCAAATGAGGCTGCTCCCAGAGTTAAAATCTTATGTTAAGTTTTATTTATTTATTTATTTTTTTAAGTAAGAAGGTAGGCAGGGAATGGTGGCTTATTCCTGTAATCTCAGTGCTTTGGGAGGCAGAGGCAGGAGGATCACTTGAGCTCAGGAGTTCAAGGCCAGCCTGGGCAACATAGTGAGACCCCCATCTCTACAAATTTAAAAATTAGCCAGGCGTGGTGGTGAAAGCCTTTTCTCCCAGCTACTCAGGAGGCTGAGGTAGGAGGATCACTTGAGTCCAGGAGTTTGAGGCTGCAGTGAGCTATGCTGATGACACTGCACTCCAGCCTGGGTAACACAGCAAGACCCTGTCTCTAATTAAAAAAAAAACAAAAACAAAACAGAAAGCAAACTAGGAAGCATCCAGATTGTGTGTATCTGAAATGATTCTTCCTTGGCCTGTAGTGTGACTCAGGTGAATTTCTGAGGCCAAATGGGGCTGAAGAGTGCAGGAAAGGAAGGCAGCCAGCTCCATGGCTGTCAGCAGCCCTCCTCAAGCAGTTCCAGCAGAGGCTGTGTCCAGCTGCCCCAGCGTGGCCAGCCCAAATGCTGCTGTCTGCGTCCTCTGCACAGCCATCGCTTCGTAGGCTGCTGTGGTCTTCCATCACATTGGGTTCGAGGCACCCATGTCTGTGTGGAAGGACTCTACCCCCTCCCATCACCATTTCCTCCTCATTCCTCCCCCACCAGACCCTGGCAGCAGGCCCGCCTTGGAATGCAACCCTGGCACCCAGTGAATTCATTCCCACCAGGCCTCCAGAGTGGCTCCGGTCCTTATGGTGGGAAGGTGGTTTGTGGCAAACCCTCGGGGTTTGTGGTCGCTAGGGACAAAACTGCTTCTGGGGGTGAGGGTGAAGGCGAGGGAGAGAAGGAGTGGACACAGCCTGGTTGTCTGTGGATCCAGGAACTGACGGTGCAGGACTGGGGCACCTCGCTGAGTGCCATAACCTAGGCCTGGGGGCACGAGGGTCCTTTCTTGCTCCAGGTTGTCCTCACAAGAAACAACTCTCTCCTACCTTATTGAGACTTTCATGTCCTTGCTGTTTTTAACAAAGAAGAATGGTCTTTGTAAATGGAATGCACAAGCCTTCCTGTTCACTTTTTGTGGATTTCTAAATAAGTGACAGGGCACATGTAAGCGTCCCTTCCTCCGAAGGCCAAGTGTTTTCCTAGCACTGATGTGTGGCCTTTACTATGAGGTACTGATTCATTTCTACCCCATCTTATTCCACAAAAAATTCAAGGCAGCTTACAATAATATGTACAATCAAAAAGACATGCAAAAACCTCAGGCCCAGAAACATACCTATCAGAAGAAAGGATTAAGACCAGGCCAGGCCCGGTGGCTCACGCCTGTAATCCTAGCACTTTGGGAGGCTGAGGCGGGCAGATCACCTTAGGTCAGGAGTTTGAGACCAGCCTGGCTAACATGGTGAAACCCCATCTCTACTAAAAATACAAAACTTAGCCTGGCGTGGTGGCAGGTGCCTGTAATCCCAGCTACTCAGGATGCTGAGGCAGGAGAATCGCTTGAACCTGGGAGGTGGGGGTTGCAGTGAGCCAAGATCGCACCATTGCACTCCAGCCTGGGTGACAGAGCAAGACTCTATCTCAAAAAACAAACAAACAAACAAACAAACAACAGTGAGCAGCAAGAACTCACTCACAAGTCGTCAACGCTGTGCAGTTACATGCATGGAGCTGTGAAAATGGCTGTGGACTCCCCACCCAAGATTAGGGAGCTGACTTGCTGCAGGGTCTAGGCCCCCGGCAAGGACATGAATGTTGGGTTTTCTTAGAGTCCTTCATAAGTACATGTGCCTCTTAGTCTTCTCCTTTAGGGCTACATTGGGCTAGATTATTGATATCAAAGAAGGTATTCATGTGTAAACCCATCTCTCAATAATTCCAAAAACACCTGAGCTAGGTGGAGGTCCGCATGTGTCAGGGTGTATGGGAGGTGGTATTCTTTGGGCTCGTAGAGCAGGCCAAGATCAGGAAGCAGCTCAGGGGATTAAAAAACATGGGCTTCAGCTTCAGAAACACCCGAGGGAACCACACTCCACCCTTTACAAGCTGCATGGCCGTGGGGGTGTCTCTGAGTCTCTGAGACTCTGAGACTCAATTTCCCTATCTGTACAGAAGAGGGTGTCACTTCCTCTGATCTCACACATTGTCGTAAGGACTACCCCTAGACGGTTACCAGCACCCCCTGGGCTGGTTATTGATCCCTCCCACGCACCAGGCTCTGGTCTCGGGGCTTTGCTTGAATGATCTCGTGGGAGCCACTCAACAAGCTTAGGAAGTGAGACTCTCCCCAACCCGTAAGTCAGGCACTGAGCTTCCTCCAGTAAGAAAGAGCAGAGGCAGGGTGCAAACACAGCAGTCTGATTTCAGGGCCCTCCACGCCAGCCAAAACGCTGCTCTTCTTCCTGCATAGTCTGTGAGCAAATGCTCCATTTATTTCTTATTCCTATCTCTTAAGGCCTTCACAGACACCTCTTCAGGAGACCCAAGACTAACCTTCCAAATGGCTGCCTCCTGTAGACTATTTGGTCACAAAGTCCTGGGCATCAGAGCCACGATTCTTCTTCTTCTAGGGAAAGCAGAAGGCATATGGGAAGGATTAGGACTGTTTCCTTCAGGTCCTGACTTATGAGCTCACATGAAAAGACAATCACTTGCTACTGAGGAGAAGGTGCTCTTCAAGAGAAGTTCTTGAAGCCTACATTCCCGACAACCCCCTGGCAGACACACCGGCCAACCTCAGAGTCCATCTCAGAGTCCACTCTCCCCTGAGGCCCCTGTCACACGACCCTTCCTTCTCACTTAGAGTCAGGGCCAAACAGCTCAGCACCTCATCACACTCAGGTATGTTTTGCAAAAACTCACGCGTGTATAGCACAAGAATGCTCTATCACTTGCGATACTGGGGCTACGATGACTGCAAAGATGAGTCAGACACAGAAATGGCTTCTTCCAAAAGTTTTCAAATTGAGTAGACAACGGTAATGTGAATTCCACAAAGAGATTCAAGAAGACAGAGAAAGAGTCTCCAGTTTGAGGATTGGAAAAGCTGGGGCATTTAATACAGGCCTTAGACAAGTACTGACTTGTGGGCTGCTCTAGAGGCAGCAGTGAAGACGAGACTCAAAAGAAGAGCTGGGGGTGTCCTGGAGCAGGCCCTGACTGCAACCGGGTTGGGTCTAGTGTGGACAATGGGAAACGCGTGAAGATTTTTTCAGTCAAGGTCTGAGCTGTAATTAAGGAACTAATGATTTGATAGATTAGGGAAGAGGGTGAGTAGAGGTTGGATATCAGCTCATGGGTTGTTTTATTAGTTCACTGAGAGGGCATGAGCCGAGGTCACAACACTGAGAATGGGAAGGAAGGGTCAGAGGCTTCTTAGCTCTGGGGGAAAGAAAACATGTCAAATTTGTGTCGTGTTCCTTCCTCTGGCCCCAGAACCCTGGCTAATTCTGCAGTAGGTGCTGAGTTCTAGTAGATTCCTAATTTGGGAGTGCTTTGCCCCACCCCAGCTGAGAGCTGCTTCTGATGGAAACAGGTTATACACAGAGGGTTGGGGACGTAAGAAAGGCTGCAAACCATCGCATGTCACCTTGAGCATAATACAGAGGGCAGAGAACTCTCGGATGTTAACTTCTAAGAAAAAAAAATCCTTCTTAAATTTAGTGACAGTCAATATGCTACTCAAGTGGTTACAAAATAGTAAGTGCTTTTAAGCTTGAAGCAAAAGAGACAAATAAAAATATACGAAAGACTCAAAAATAGAATTTAGATTGAAATGGTAAACAGTTTTGGATCAGAATTAAATTTTCAACTTAAAAGTAAATTCTGATTTTGTAGAACCAATATTAATCTAAAAATAAGCCTTCTGGAAAACTTTCGTCTCAATATTTCCTTGAAAAGTAAGATATACTAAGTTTGAATATTGATTTTCAGTAACACTAAAACTGTATGGTACAAGAAAGGCTCTGGAAGCATCGCTCAGGTCCCCTGTACCCAGCAGCCCATCACCGGCAGGAGAGCAGAGCAGTGAGGCTCTGCCCGGACTCCAGAGCTCAGCCCTGTCCTGAGTGTTCTCAGCTACAGACACTAATGTGCCCATTTTGTGCGTTGCTATGAGGAGTCAGTGAGTTATTTTTTGTAAAGCAGTTAGAAGAGTACCTCCACAATACTGTATAATTATAGCTGTAATAACTAGATTTATAAAATGAAATTTATTTTTCATTAAAAAAAACCCATCATCACTCTTGAACTATCTATTCACCTCAGGTACCAGCAGATGGATGGATACAAAAGGTGATTTTACTTGTTGTTATATGGTTTAAAAAATATTCTTAAACACTTTTTAAACTGTACAATGTCATTAATTATCTGCTGTGGTTTCTATACTATCCTGCCATGTCAAAGTGTATTTGGACACCAATAAGCTTGGATAAAAATACATCGGTGGAAAATTGGCTCAAAATAGGTTAGTAACCCTAATAAGCAGTTTATGTAGTCTGGGTGAGGTACCCACTAGGTAATAAGTCTATTTTTACTTGACATCAGTACCAATTATCAAGGAAAGGTATATTCAGACACAAATAAAACTTAGTGCCGATGCTGAATTTAGAAGTAAAGTTAATTTCAATAAAAACTGGATGTGGAAAAAGTGAGTACCTAAGGCATAGTCATTCCAAGGTTTGTTGGTCAGTGAAAAAGTTCCATTCCAAAACCTCAGGAAATGGAGAGGATGAGGAGCAAAGGTGGAAGAAACAAAAACGTATCAAACCCATGCTATACCAGGGCAGGGCACCAGCCACCCTAACTGATAGGTACATCAGACAGGTCCTGGTGGGCCCAAAGGTTGGCATGGCGTCTTGCCTGTATATGCATCTTGCCAGTTGAACATCCTAGATGTTCAGTAAAGTTACTTGGGCATTACACATCTGTTTCTGTGTTAATTATATAATCCACAATTATTTGGATGGAGACAACATGAAGGAGGCAGAGAAGCCAGTTAGGAGGCTGCAGTCACTCAGGGGAGGCATGTCCCAGGCCACGGTCACCATGGGAATGGAGAGAAACAGACAGCTTCCAGAGGTAATTAGGGGATATCATGTACACAACATGGAGGTAAATTAAACATGAGATGGGGGCTCGAGGGAGAGGAAGGAAGCAAAGAAGATGTACGGGGGCTGGCTGGGGCCGCTCCATGGGCATCCTTCCCTAAGAGGATCACTGATGGTGAGGCAAGGGGCAGGGAGATGAGATTAGTTTAGGGATGGGAAGATCCTGGTGGAAACATCTAGTACACAGATGGACATATGGATCTGCAGCTTAGGAAAGATATCTGTGCCAAAGAGACAGATGAGGAAGTCGGAATATAAACATCTGGTAATTAAGGCAATGAGAGTAGGTGAAGATTTCATTGTAAGAAGTTATTACAGAGAGTGGGCTAGGTTATTCACAATACTCAGTCTGTAGTCTAAGAGTCTCCCACACATAGACTTGTATAGATACCCGGACTAAGCTGAGTATTAGAGTTAAGATTTGGTGCCCAGAGCAGATCAAGCCAGGTGAGCACAGAATTTAGAATTCTGAATTCTGTTTTAAGGAGGCATATTTCTCCTGAATGAACATTACTATATATTCTCCAGAACTTTATATGTTTATAGGTTATATGTGTGTATGTATGTGCACATAAGACAATGAAGTAATTCATTTTATAATGGATACAATAATTTAATAATAAACAGTTATGCTGAAAATACTCTGTTAAACAACAAATACATTATTTTTAAAATGTAAACTGCTCAAAAAAGCATTTTAAGGCCGGGTGCAGTGGCTCAGGCCTGTAATCCCAGCACTATGGGAGGCCAAGGTGGGTGGATCACGAGGTCAGGGGTTTGAGACCAGCCTGACCAACATGGTGAAACTCTGTTTCCACTAAAACTACAAAATTAGCCAGGCATGGTGGCACACGCCTGTAATCCCAGCTACCTGTGAGACTGAGGCAGGAGAATCGCTTGAACCAGGGAGGTGGACGTTGCAGTGAGCTGAGATCGTGCCATTGCACTCTAGTTTGGGCAACGAGAGTGAAATTTTGCCTCAAAAAAAATTTTTTTTAAAAAAGCATTTTAAGTAATTTAATACTGCACAAGATTTGCAGTCTGTGAGAAAAAGAATGAGAAAGAATCTTATTTAAGGTTAAGATGACTCCAGCATCTGATCTTCAAAAGACAGGCAGACAGGAGAAAAAGAGGAAGAGCAAGAAGCCGTGGTCACCTGGGCATTGAGTCTGGAGTGGAGCTTGTGGTCTGACAACCAGGGGTGCTTGAGAGCTTCGCTTGCACTTATTCGCCAACTAGAAGGAAATTCAGAAGGTGATTAGTAGAAACACACCGAAGAAGGCCTGTATCTGCTGTTCAATCTCAACTCCAGCTTCTGCCTTCGGGAGACCAGATGGCCGAATGTCAACTCATGGTCAATTCTGCCTTCTCTTGAATTGTGTGCTATCAATGATGGCATAGGTGACTATCGAATCCAATCAGGATAACATTAGTAAAGACAAACAAGGCAAATAATAAAAATTCTTGTTAATAACTGAACATTTACTTTCAAATATAAGTAACCATTTCTGTAGTATAACATCTGAGCTTAGTAAAGTGGATTCCTATCAGTCAGTTGAAAAATAAATATATATTTATTATTGTAAGAACAAAATGCTACAATGATTCTTGATGATTGCCAAAGCAATTTGTGTATTAAAACTTTTGAATAATAAATATTACTAACTTTTGAATTGAGAAGTTTTGAGTTAAATAGGTAGGGAAATAGAGTCGATGTAATTATTAAGAGAGGGACCATTAGATACTTTTATGAAGAAACAATATCCTTTTGGAGCCAGCAAAGGTTTATAAGATTTTGGGAAATAATATGAGGAAGAATAATATAGATTTACCATATTTAAATTCTAAGTTCTATACATTTGTTTGATGTGCTAACATTTATCACATTAAAACAAATAACCTTTCAAAATAAAAACTGTAGGCCAGGTGCAATGGCTCATGCCTGTAATCCCAGCACTTTGGGAGGCCGAGGCGGGTGGATCACGAAATCAGGAGTTCAAGACCAGTCTGGCCAAAATAGTGAAACCCCGTCTCTACTAAAAATACAAAAAATTAGCTGGGTGTGGTGGGGCACACCTGTAATCCCAGCTACTCAGGAGGCTGAGGAAGGAGAATCACGTGAACCCAGGAGGTGGAGGTTGCATTGAGCCAAGATCGTGCCATTGCACACCAGCCTAGGTGACAGTGTGAGATTCTGTCTCAAAAAAAAAAAAAAAAATGAAAAAACAAACAAACAAACAAAAAACCTGTAAGTGAATGTAACAATCTGAAGTCAAAGAGGCAGTTTCAAGCAGTAATGAAGCTTCAGTTTGTAGGATTGCTTCAATGCAATCGCTTCATCAGATACCAAAATATTTAAGTATAAGATTTGAAGAGGAGATAAGTCTTTATTACATCAATGAACTTGGTGACAACATCACCATTATAGTGCCAAAAACAGGCAGAGGTAATTTTTAAAAACCTCGTGACCTCCATCAACCTCAGTTGGAAGTGTGGTTCTGCTTAGTGTCATAAATTTTCAGTACTGGATCTCCAGAGCATTCCAATGGCTGACCAAGGTGAAAAATGATGATTCTGTACTCTAGTGTCGAACTTCTTAAATCTGGCTATTAAAAAGTTAACAATAACATTGTACTAATAATTAAACTTAATAACATTTCAAGTTTATTTCTGTACCCCAGAAATTTATTCTATGATAGTGGTGTTTGGCTTTTGGCTTTAGTTTCATCCAAGCATTGACTGGAATTCTAAGCCAGTTGCCATCGGCCCAAATGGGCATCTGATGCTCCTTGGGCATTCATGAAGCCCTCAGACTGAAGGAGTGAGCGGCACTGGAGCCCACTGGGCCCACCTCTGCATCTGCTCTGAGATAGCCGTGTGACTGCAGCACTGCTCTCAGCCTCAGTTTCCCCATGTGTAAAATGATGGTCTCCACAGACCACAGGATTATCCAGAAGCCAAATAAGATAACACATGAAAGTACACATGTAAAACAGGTTCACAGTAAATGTGGACTTCTCGTCCTCCAAAGATTTGAAAGGGTTGACAGTTTCCATCTGTTCACTGCCTTGGGTAGAGTAATGTGCTCATAATAATAACCTTGGCTGTTATTGTGCCTTTCCATCAAGGCACAATACTAGCCAAGGTTATTATTATTATTAATCCATTATTTGTGAATTGTCCCTCCTGTCGGACTGATACCCCTAGCCTGGCTAGGTTCTCTTCATCCTCTAAGGATGGCCTTATCTTTGTGTTAACCACATTTTATTACATCTTTTTAAAAAATATCTATCCCTTTTATTAGATGGTGAGTTACTATAGGCAGGGACTGGATTTGTGCCTCTATTCTTAGCACATGACACATTTCCTGGCACACAGTAGGTGATCAACACTTGAATGAAAGCATCTCCTGCCAAGCTGTGTGCCAGACCCACTGCCCACACTGTTTCCCCACTCCCTGTGACACCCTTCTACCTGTTGATCCACAGCCATGTGTATTAGTGACTTTAAAGCCATAAAGATAATAAAACGATAAGGCAAGTGCTATTGACCCTGAAAACCTTAACTACTTCAATCATTATACGGCTCAGGTATAAAGCCATCTGAAACAGCGTGTTTGATGGGTTAATCACAATGCCCTTCCCCTTCTATGATTCTAAAATGCAAATCCCTATATTTCAATGTCACTCTTTTTCATTCACTGAATTTTGAATTAATGTGGTTTTAGCATAACAGAAAATAGAGGGCCATGTAATAAATAACAGCCAAGTGTGCGGCCGTTGGGGAAGGAGAACTATCTGTTTGAGCCTCTGTTCTGCCAATTACTGGCGGTATGATGATGGGCAAACCACGTGGGATCTTCTACCCGATTTCTGCCTCATGGAGTTGGGGTCAGGGGTGGTAGTTAAAAGAGATAATGTCTACAAAGCACTTGGCATGATCTGGCCCACAGTAGTTTCCCAAATGAAATGGTAGTTAAAGATTCAGCTACACGGAACCATATACAGCTTAGTAGAGGTGAAAGGAATCCTAGAAATACTTCTCCCAAGCCTTCCATTTTGACAGTGAGTCAACTAAGGCCCAGCAGGAGTCCATGGCTGGTATGGCCATATGATAAATGGCAGGAAGAGAAAGGTTTGTGTAGCTTCATGACCAAAGCAGTCCCAGATCTCAGTAGACTGGGTCAAGAGGCTCAAACCTCATTCTATCCATGACTTTGCGCAAGCATCACAGATGTTAGTAAGAGAATAAATTCGAACAGCCCTGGTGGTAGGCCCTGCTTCCTTATCATCCCTACTGCGCCCGGAGCACAGGACGAACTTGCGTTACCTCTTCTCCTTAATCAGAAGCTTAGAGATGAACTCCTTGGCCTCCTCCGAGATGTCCTGAAATTCTTCATCCTCTAAGTCCCACCTGCAGGCCAGGATGTTGTTCAGCGTCTCAGCATCATTGTCACCCAGGAAAGGCGACAAACCGCTAAGTCTGGAGGACACGGGGTCCAGAGTGAGTATTTTTTAAACAGCCTCAACCCCTTTCCATACAGATTGCTTTTCTGGTTGTGCCATTTAAAGGTGAGAGAAGGAAAATAACCTAATCCTGAAGCATAATTTTATAACATATTATTGTAATCAAGAAAATGCTTGCCGCCCCCACCCAACTCCTAACTGAACAACTGCAGCAATAACAGAATATGAATATGAATATCAGCTTCCTTTTTAAAGCACTTTTCAGCTTGCAAAGTGCTACTACATGCTCAGATGGCAAACGCTAGGCATGTCACCTCTGAGGGGTGAGGCTAGCCTGAGTCATTTAGGAGATCAGTTTTTTTTTTTTTTTTTTGAGACGGAGTCTCGCTGTGTCACCAGGCTGGAGTGCAGTGGCGTGATCTCGTTTCACTGCAACCTCCACCTCCTGGAAGCAATTCTCCTGCAGCCTCCCGAGTAGCTGGGATTACAGGTGCATGCCACCACGCACGGCTGATTTTTGTATTTTTAGTAGAGATGGGGTTTCACCATGTTGGCCAGGATGGTCTCAATCTCTTGACCTCGTGATCCGCCCACCTCAGCCTCCCAAAGTGCTGGGATTACAGGCTTGAGCCACCGCGCCAGGCCATGTGAGCTTTTTAAATTAATTTTTGGCTTTTAGGTTGTGTCCTAGGAGTTAAAGTGATTAATGAAGAGGACACACATTTACTTTTCCAAATGATGTGCAGGGAAAGAATTCACTCCTTTCACCCACAGGAGTCAACAAAACCTAGAAGGCAACTGAGGATGGGACAGTGTTATTTATTTTTTAAATACCCCAATTGGGGCTTTTATTTAAAACGGCAAAACCTCAGAAAATATGCATGGAGTTGGAGAAGGGTCAGAGACAGAGGAGAGCTACTCACAGCATATAGGCGATGACCCCCACACTCCACATGTCAGTGGGAAATGAAACAAAATCATAGTTCACAACTTCAGGGGCGAGAAATTCTGGGGTTCCAAAGTTCACCTTCAGCTTCTCTCTGGGTTTGTATCTGCAATTTAAGAGACAAAGTGGAAGGATGGACGTGTCGATCAAAAATCGTGAACACTGAAATGATGTAGTCTATGAGACAAAATGACTTCAGCCATACAGCAAACTTCAGACAAACAAACATTGAAGGAAATCAAACAATCAAGCAAGAGGCTCAAAAACTTGTAAAGAGGCCCCAGAAAATTTAAAAGTCAAAATTCATACTAGGAAACCTTAAAAGCTGAACCAGTTGTTGGAGAAGCTGCTGTGAATAATGAGAACATCTGAATTACAGAAGATGACAAGAGGAAAACTGATATAGTCATTGACATGGGGATGATGTGAATAAGCCTGTAAAATGAATAAACACAGTACTGCAATAATTTACAACATCCATTTTATATGTGTCGTTAATGTGCTGAATTGTTAATGTGTCCACGTAAACTCTTTGTTCCCTGAAGAATCTTTTATGTGCCAGAACCCTTTGCAAACTTGCTTACGTTGTTAATATTTTTAAAGTAAATCTTCTCTGTACAGATGGATCAAATATGAAAGAGGGGACAAACTCTTGCAAATGCTAAATTAATGGCTTCTAATTTAATAAACTTCACTGTATTAGGTTTTAATTTTTTATACTTTTTACTGCATGCATTATAGAAACTTCTAAACACTCAAGTCTCAAATTTAGCAAGTTAAGGCCAAACATAATTTTTGTTAAATTAATTATAAATGAGATCATGAAACCAAAGAGCAGATCAGATATATGTTTGCAAAGGAAGGGCAACCATCATGTCCCCCAGCTCCATTCGTACACCTATGTCCAAATAGACATACCTTCTGGCCAATCCAAAATCAATAATTTTTATTTGCTTAGCATCCCGATTCACACACAGGATATTCTCAGGCTGCCAGGAGAAAGAGACACATTAGCAATGAAAACAACCATCATTCACTCAAATTGTCCTTGAACCACAACTAAAAATACAACGATGCTCAGAAAAAACATATCAGGCCTTTCACTTCGGGGCGGGCTTGTCCGTGTGGGTACTTTCTCCTTTAATTATGTGGTGGATGAGGTTGCGGGTATCCTGCCAACCCTGCATTATCCAGCCTGTCCTCTGCACGGCTTCACAGTTCACCATAATGCCTGAGTTCAGGCAGAGGCCTTGAGGGGAGCAAGAAAAGGAGGTTGCTTCAGTCCTTCCCAAATGTGCTGTGGAGGCCCGCTCAGGCCTGACATCTGCCCCTCTAAATTATTCAGTATGAATTTCCCCTTCTTGGAGAAATATTTTTCCCAAGATTGATGAGTTCCAAGGGAATTGACCTGCTCCATTCAAACAGCCACACTGAACATGCACTGTCACGTGAACGTTCCGGCCTCCAGAGCTTCCCTTTGCTCAACGCCTATGGGAAAGTCGCACGGCAGAGGAGGGCTTTTCTCTCCAGTCGTTCTTCAGTCTCAGCAGTTCCAAGGTTTTGCTGAGTTTGGTCTCAATGCCTAAAACCCCTGACTAAGTGTTCCCTTGGAGCTAGGCCCTGGTAAGACCTTAGCCTGCTGACCTGACAGTCTTGGGGTGCAGGGGGAGAAAATGGGGTGTAGTGCAGCCACTCAGTGTTCACAGAATGCCTTACAAGTGCACCTAATGTTTACTGGGGTAGAAAAACAGAGGTCTTGGGAAAGTAAGAGATTTGATTTAAAGTCAAGGCCATTTATAAAAGAGAAAAAAAGTTTTCAGAGTTAAGAACCCTCAGTCCCAATTCTTTACAAGCTGGAGGGCACCATCCCAGAAGCCAAATGCCCAGGATCCCGTTCCTCAGCCTTTAGTGGGATCAGGCTCCCCTCCCCAACCTGTCCAGGTGGAGAAGAGGTTCCAATGAGATCAGAAATTCAGAAACACATTATGAAATGACATAATGTCTCCTTATCAATATTCAATAGTACATTTGGTTGGGCAGAATATCTTTGGAAGCCCTTTTCTAAACTATCTCTAAAACAGATGTTTGTGAGTAAAAGTCATTATAGAGAAGGGGGTGCTA
This sequence comes from Homo sapiens, assembly GCF_000001405.40. Taxonomy (NCBI): domain Eukaryota; kingdom Metazoa; phylum Chordata; class Mammalia; order Primates; family Hominidae; genus Homo; species Homo sapiens. The sequence goes on from NC_000006.12 coordinate 2,681,424, forward strand.
CGTGAACCATTTGGTTTCATGCTTAAATCACTGATGGATCATGTATAAAGCTGTCCAATTGTGAAGGAGTACTGTGGCATCAAAAAGTTTGCAGGATATAGAGAAACCGTTTTGAGGGCATTTCAATAAGTTAGCCTTTTTATGACGATAAAATTAAACAATGTTCATTGGATAAATTTTGCAAAACAGAAAAATATAAAACAGACTGTTTGTAAGTCACCTATAATCTCCCCCCACATACTGACAATCACTCAATATTTTTGGCCCTTTTCCTTCCAAGGAGCTTTCAGAAAAGCAGCTCCTTAAGGACCCATCCAGCTGTCACCTTTATGATGATCTCTGCATCCAAGCCATAACTAAAACTGCCCACTGCAGGTCCTCAATCAATGTTATGAAGCCTCATATGGAGTCATTTGACTTACAATAGGTTTGCTCCTAGTTCCAGTTGCCAATCAAATCCCTGTAGGGATATCTGCAGAATATCTACATTCAATGAAAATGCTCCATGAAAGCATGCATTATCAAACTCAGTTCATAGTGAGGGTTTTGCTAATGATTTTTAGCCTCTGACTTTGTCATTTTATAAACCACTTCCTCCTGCTCTCCTCCTGCTCAAAAGTGAATGGGAAAGGCAAGGCACATAAATCAAGACAGTGAGGGAAGCCAAGTTATAGGAAGAGAGGCCCATGGAAACCTATTTCAGGAGGCTAAATTTATTTAGCTATGCAATCCCTAGTGAATGCAATAGATGGGATGTTATATAGATTGTATATTTTATGTTACTGTCACGCTGTGCAAACAGGGAAATGAGAAAATGACCAAGCCACACAAGACGTACTTTATGATACTTAGTCCCAATATGGGACTTGATCAGGGTTGTTGGGCCTAGGTCTTTTATTGGTTGTAACTAAGACTACATACAGTCCGATTCTAGGAACTTCATAATGAGACATGAGAGAGGTAAAGAGGGAAGGGGCAATCAATAGGAGGAGAAAGAAAGGCGGCTTGGCTTCTGTGTGCTTTCCACCATTGGCAGTGGGGTGCCCACCCCACCCTCTCTTCTCCTTAGCACTTTGGCCCCATCCTTCCGACTGTCCTCTGCTGCATTCTCCATAGGATTCTATTCCACAGGGCAGCAAACCCACAGAAAAACAAGTCCCAAAGTCTGGAGCTTCCTGAGTGACTCGAGGAGCTGCCGGCGATTCTTGGAGACCTGGAAAGGTTGACTACTACTTAGGGAATTCTGAGTTAGCTAAAATCCTCTCACCTACTTGTCCTGATGAGAGGGCTACCACGTGGATACCGCTGTGGTGGTGGTGACTGTTTTCATTCTAAACTTTTAGGGAAACCATTGCCATATAGATTTCCTTAACGCAGGCAAGTTACAAGAATCTGAATATCACCCCTGAAGATGGAACATGCAAATATTAGGGAGTGACAGAAGCTGAGAATAAGGAGATGAGGGTAACAATTCAGATGTTTATTCATTTCTGAAATGACTGTACCAATTTCCCCAGCTGGCATATAATAGCAGACAGGGCCCACTGTGCAAGAGCTGGGAAGGGCTTACGTCTCACAGGATACAAAACACCCTTACCTTCAGGTCCAAGTGGAGAATGTACATCTGATGCATGTGCCTTATCCCCTCACATATCTGCTTCATGAACAGGATGGTATCAAGCTCCGTCAAATTGTAGCTCTCATCGATGATGCGGTCAAACAGCTCCCCACCATCCACACTGCAGAGGGAAGAGGACTGAAACCCTCAGTCCCGATTTCCTTACCACCATGTGCTTTTCTCGTAGTGACTTGTCGTGCAAGTTCTGCTACCTCTTCTGAAAGGTGTATGTGCAGTTATTTCTCTGCCTTCTTTACTATCTTACTTAGATGATTCTTATCTTGAAGGCCTGTATTTTATATACCTTTAATCTCACAAATGGAAATCCTCAAGCCAACTCCCCACCTTTTTGTGTGTGTGTGTGTGTGTGTGTGTGTGTGTGTGTGTGTGTGTTTTGAGATGGAGTCTCGCTGTGTCGCTCAGGCTAGAGGGCAGTGGCAGGATCTTGGCTCACTGCAATCTCCGCCTCCCAGATTCAAGCGATTCTCATGCCTCAGTCTCCCAAGTAGCTGGGATTAGAGGCATGCGCCACCATGCCCGGCTAATTTTTGTATTTTTAGTAGAGATGGGTTTCACTGTGTTGGCCAGGCTGGTTTCGAACTCCTGACCCCAAGTGATCCACCAGCCTCGGCCTCCCAAAGTGCTGGGATTACAGGTGGGAGCCACCACACCGGCCCTCAAAGCCCCTTTATTCAGTGTCTTCAGCTCTGGGGTGAGCCCACATGTATCATGTTCTAAAGATGTTGAAGAGAAAGAGGATCCTAAGAACTCCAGGAGGGGAACTCCAAGCCCTGACTGAAGGTAGTCAGGGTCTCAGCCCTCTAAGTCTCCAGACTGAATTCAGGGATAAAGTGCTTCTCTGTGGCTGGTGCTAGACACAGTAATTTCCCTTATCCTTGGGGACACCTTCCAAGACCCTCCGTGGATGCCTGAAACTGTGGATAGTACTGAACCTGTATATACTATGTTATTTCCTATAGACATATAACTCCGATACAGTTTAATTCATAAATTAAGCACAGTAAGGGATTAACAACAATAACTACGAGTAAAATAGAACAATTATAACAACACGCCAGCTGCACTACTCTTGTGTCTTGGGGCCATTATGAAGTCAAATGATAGTTCCGTGAACACAAGCATGGCGATGCCTCCACAGTCAATCTGATGACCCGGTCGGCTACTAAGTGACTAACCGCAGGGAGTGGTGGAGACGCTGGACAAAGGGATGATTCACGTCCTGGGTGGGACCGAGCGGGACGGTGGGAGATTTCATCAGGCTACTCAGAACAGTGTGCAATTTAAAACCTGTTGATTGTTTACTTCTGGAATTTTCCACTTAATATTTTGGGGCCTTGGGTAACTGAGACCATGGAAAGTGAAAGTGTGGGCAAGGGAGGACCACGATACTATACTTTTTATTCAAAATGCCTTATTGAGGAATGAAAAACAAAACGGAATCACAATATCGATTCAGTGTTGGAATTGCAGTCGGCCCTCCCTATTCGTGGGTTCTGTTTCCACAGGTTCAAACAATCGTAAATCAAAATGTTTGACCAAAAAACAATAAAAATTGACAATACAACAACAAAAATAATACAAATTTTTAAAAAATACAGTATAACAACTGTATATGTGGCATTTACAGTTTATCAGGTATTGTAAGTAGTCTAGAGATTATTTAAAGTACTCGGGGGGATAGGCATAAGTTATATGCAAAAGACTATGCCATTTTATGTCAGGAACTTGAGTGTCCTCCGGTTTTGGTATTTGCAGGGATCCTGGGACCAATCCCTCTCCGATACCAAGTAATGACTGTACTCGGTTTCTAACTAACCAGTCCTTATGTTTTTATAAAGGTGAGTTTAAATGGAAGCTTCTTAGCCCTAATCATCACCAGTTGTTGACATGACCTTTGTATTAGTGAATATGTTGAAAGTAAGATGTAGCTCAAAAACCACTTTCCTCCAGGTTGCCCTGGCTAATATTTAAGCTTGATTTTTGACAAACAGCGTAGATACAAAGCTAGATCTACTTGGTCCCACTACTTCTTAGCAATAAAATCCCATATGGAGATTTGTAACCCCAAGTGTTTCCCTTCTAGAACTGATGTGATTGTGTGATCCGCGCGAATCAGAGTCTGCGGGGGCGAGCTTGGTTCTGGTCCCGCTACAGCAGGACGGAGCTACTGAGGCACGGTCACGGTCATGAGTGCCCTTGGGGAGGTCAGGGAGGGGGCGGAGGGGATACGTACTACTCCATGACCAGGACAATGTCGTTCTTAGACTCGAAGGCATCGTACAGCTGGATGAGGTTCGCGTGGTCCAGCTGGTTCATGACGCTGATCTCGTTCTTCACCTCCTCCTGAGAAGCAGGAAACAGTGCATTAGTGTGGTCAAGATGGGGCGGGGAGGGAGGGGACCACCTCCCACAGGCTGTACCTTGTCCTTCATGCCTCTGGTCTTGATGATTTTGGCTGCCAGCTTCAGACCTGTGGCCGTCTCCTCACACTTGTGAACCTGGCCGAAACGCCCTCTGCCAAAAAGAGGAAGCGGCGTAGCATGAGGCCCTGTGGTCAGCTGCCGAGTGGACAGCGCACAGTGGCCCCAGTATTTCTCCTGCTGAGTCTGGATGAGCAGCCCTCTGAGGAGTTCTTTCAGTAAACTTCTAGAGCAGTATTTGTCAACATGTGGTGTGTGGATCACTTGCATCAGAATCACCTGGGAGCTGTTAAGAAAGCAGGTCTCGGCCGGGCACGGTGGCTCACACCTGTAATCCCAGCACTTTGGGAGGCCGAGGCGGGAGGATCACGAGGTCAGGACCAGTCTGGCCAACATAGTGAAACCCCATCTCTGCTAAAAATACAAATACAAAAAATTAGCCAGATGTGATGGCATGTGTCTGTAGTCCCAGCTACTCGGGAGGCTGAGGCAGGAGAACGGCGTGAACCCAGGAGGCGGAGGTTGCAGTGGGCCGAGATCGCGCCATTGCACTCCAGCCTGGGCGACAGTGCAAGAATCCATCTCAAAAAAAAAAAAAAAGAAGAAAGAAAGAAAGAAAAAAAAAAAGAATCCAGGATTCTGGGCCCTACCCCAGACCTCCTGAGGCAGGAATCCAGGGGTAGGCCCCAGAATCTGCATTTCAGCACATTTCTTGGGTGATTCATATGCACCCTCACATTTGAGAACCACCTTTACAGACAATGCAGAATCCTTCTGAATACATATGAATGTTATGAGCTGGGCTTTGCCAGCATATGAACAAGAGAGCCCACCTTCAGATATATAAAATTATTTTTGGAAACTGCATATGTAACAATACTGCATATACATCCATATAGTCAAGACTGCATATTGCCAAGTCACCTATGAGCTTGAATATAAACACAAGACAGCTTCTTACCTACGTAATCACATACAGATGTGCACACTTGTGAGCAGTTTTAAATTTAATTTGCTTAGTTTGATTTCTTATTTAGTAAAATAAGCTAGAACACGTGTCCCTGCTCTGCAATGGTGGATGTCACAGTAGGGAGTGAGGAACAGCTTCCCTAGCAACACAGTGAACCCGAGGCAAGCCCTATGACAAGGCAGAGGACTTCAGCGATGAAAGTCATGGCAACGCTGGGCAGATGCAGGGGCACTGGCGGCCGCTGCATCCTACTGTGGGGCTGCACACCCAGCACAGAGGCAGATGAATCTTGGAGAATGACACAGGATTACCATAAACGTAGCCACGGCGTGACTTCAATTCCAACCTCTGCTCCAGATAGAGTCTCTATGGGAACACACGGACACAGCCCCAGCCACCTCTTAATTGGTTGTTATGGAAATGGTTTCTCCCCTTCACTAGCAATGGCCGCAGAACCTCCTGAGCCAGCAGTGGTGCCCATCACTGTCTGACTTCCCGGCTCCCTCAACCTTCTGACTCTTTCCCCTGATTTATTGTGCAAGGGCCCTGAAGGTTGAGGCCAACTCCCAGGATTCATGCTGGTTCAACACAGTGATAACCTTATGCTCATTGAACATGGCAAGCAGGGATGATGGATACCCTCAAGGCCACAGGGCAGGAGACGAACTCCCAGGAAAATTCAGGGGCCTGCCCCTGTGGGCAGGGTTTTTGGGATCCAGTGGTCCTTGGCATGTTGCAATATTTCTGCCAAAAGTAAAAGATAAGTTGCTACATCTTGAACCTGCTACCACTTAAAAGGAGGTGCAGCACTTGGTGATGTCTGCATTTTGAAGGCATCCACGCACATTTGATCATGCTCCTCTCACTTATTTGCTGAGTGAATTACGGCTGCCAATTTTGGTGAAGCCCATAACGAGAGCTGACGGGCAGCTGGTCTAGACTGCAGTACCAAAGAGAAGATCCCATGGTGCCCAAACAGACAGAAAGGAAGTTTCAAAGGAGCAATTGACAAACCTTGACCAGAAAAACAGCACAAACCCTGGGAATTCTTTCAAAGCTTCTTCTGCAAATAACTATTCTCGGTTAGAGAAATAGTTGCTGGCTTGCCACTGATGTCCCTGAAGGCCCAAATACCTCAGGCTTCCATGGAGCCAGTTCATGCTGTGGAATTCCTGTTTCTCCCTCAGCCCATCCCCGCAGTCTCATGGGGCATTCTATGAGATCAGCCAGATCAGGAAGGGAAAGTCCAGGTGGTTCCATTCGGCACAGGGCAAAGAAATACGGAGTGGGAAGAGGAGGAAGGGACTTCACAAATATCAAGGACTCCCTGAAGACCACTTGCAGACGCCTGAACTGCAGTAGCGATGCGTGCTTTCCTTGTGTTGGTGAGTACATTTTGTATGTATACGTGCAGATGTTCTGCTTTCCTCTTCCTATTTTACACAGACATGCCGATGGCAGCAAACGTTATAATTTAGACTTTGAGTTACAAGATATCACGGGGGGTTGTGAAAGAAGTAAACGAAGAAGAACACCCTCTCCCCACCCCCAGCAGGAAGCGGGTCCCTGATGGACTTTAATTTTCCTTCTGGTTTTTTTTCTTTTCTTTTTTTTTCTTTTTTTTTGAGACAGAGTCTTACTCTGTCACCAGGCTGGAGTGTAGGGGCCTGATCTCGGCTCACTGCAGCCTCCAACTCCCTGGTTCAAGCGATTCTCCTGCCTCAGCCTCCCGAGTAGCTGGGATTACAGGCATGCGCCACCACGCCCAGCTAATTTTTGTATTTTTAATAGAGACGGGGTTTCACCATGTTGGCCAGGATGGTCTCGAACTCCTGACCTCAAGTGATCTGCCCGCCTCAGTTTCCCAAAGTGCTGGGATTACAGGCGTGAGCCACCGCGCAAGGCCTTTAATCTTCCTTCTTTAGGGAGAATGTGTGTTTAAATGTCCCTAAAATAAGTTATTTGCTGAGCAAAGTAATCAATTGAAATGAATAATAGTAATTAATATAGTAACAACATAAATGAAAAACCAGCAGCAATGACAGAAAGACCTAATACAGGCCACAAAAACTACACGCTGTTGACTCATTTCTATCTTCTGTCTCCTGGAGGCTGCACTATGGCTTTGGACAGCTGGTCAACCTTCTGGTGACTCACAATGGGTTTTTCTTTCTTTTAGACATTACAACATGGGAAGTAAAGCAGATAATAAATGTGGAGTTTAGTCACCACATTAACCTTTCTGGCATCAGTGACAATTTTCAGAAATGGTTACTGTTTCTTAAAATGTTTGTTTCTAATGTTTCTAGTTCTCAGGTCAAGACAGGCAGACATTTACGAAGTCATTTGCACGCTCTCTTCTTTTGTTGAGAGAATATTAACATTCAGCCTTACTCACCCTCCTAGGATTTCTGTCTTGCTCACAGTATAGAAGCTGTTGACCGCTCCTTGCTTGGCTGTCACAATACGATGATCAAATGGGGCCGGAGGAGCCGGGATGTCAACTAGAAGGTGAGAGAAACAGAAGGGCAATCTGTCAAGAAGTCTGACCTCGTTAAGGCAGCAAGCCTGGGCCTCATAGTAAAAATGTGCTCATTTAATAATAAAATACAAGGAGCCATCTGTTTGATTCCTAATGATCCAGGGATATAGATTTCCACTTGAGATTATGAGCTGTGACTCATAAAGGTGATCCTGACACCTCTGAGAAAGAGTGTCAGGGCGGCTCAATGGTTGTCCATACCATCTTCAGGATCACTTTTAGAAATGTCAAAATAGTTGAAAATTTCCAACCCAACACAGTCCAAACAGGTAATACTTCCAAGCCTGAGACCATTCAAATTCAAACATGAGAAATTGTTTGATTCATTTTTAAAATGCATTACTGATATAATCCATTATTTTAATTATATCAGAGACAAAAAAGAAAAATGAAACATTTCTTCATGTTGTTGAAATGCTTGATATTATATATTACTTTCCAAAATGTCTTAGACTTTATTTAAGACACATTTAAGGCACAAAGATGAATTTTTCCTGGCTGGCTGGAAATAAAACACCCAATAAAACCAGGTAAGTGTGTATTCAACAGAGATCAAATTTCTCCCACTTTCTCCCCTTCCACCTTAAGTGTTTAAACGCTCGTCCACATCAGCACCAGCTCTAACATACAGAATTACTCAGGGATATTCCTCCCAGTATTCTTTCACCTTTCCATGACTACTGCTGTTGAAATTGGCTTGCCATGAACCTGCTCATTCTTCGTTAATTCATTTACTAAGCAGCGACTGCATGCATACAATAAGAATACAAAGGGAGGTAAGTAAATAACAGCTTTGCTTTCAAAACACTCTACATTTATTTGACATATGTTTCTTGAGCATTTACCTTGTTCCAGGCACTCTGCCAAGTGTTAATATTTTTAAAAATTCAGATAATATAAATCTCTGGGAATCTGATTTGATATGGACATCACCTCTCAGAGCCTAAATATGCTGAAAACTGAAGTCACCAGAGAAGCATCTTGATAACATTCACTGTTTCAGATTAATAGAGGGAGTTAAATACACAAGCGGCATCGAAATGGCATTATATCTCCTGCAGGCTGTTAGACTAAATGAAATTTAGTCTGTAATGCTTGCTGGAGAAGGTTAAAAAGCCTTAAAAGGCCCATACAAAAGCCATTTCCTACCCAGTGGGGTCAGGCCGTCTTGCCCTCGGGAGGTCTTCATCCCAGCAGACTCCCTGAGTCGGCCCCGGGAGCTCCTCAGCTTGCCTGGCTGCCTGTGTCTTCTGACACGTGTGTTCTTCCCCTGTGCCGACTATGTCTACTCTGCGCCTTTTGCTGTCCTCGTTGACGAGGCGCTCCTCTGCCACTCCACGCTTACTGCTGCCCGGGCACTCTGTCTGGTCAGCATTCCAGAAAATGGATCCTACTGCTGAACTTCCAGGGATTCGTGGGGGTAGAAATGGCCCTTATGCTGCTGACACACCTGGGAAGTAAAGTCCAGTTGCAGCTCTCAAAGTTTCAAGAAGAAAACATTCAGATGGTGGAAATTCTTTAAGAAGGTTTTCTTAAAACAGTGTTTTGGTGACGAGGACGTGAGCTCCGTGATAGAGGTGACCATTTCGGGGCTTGGGGAGGAAATGGAGCAGCACGCTCCCCATCAAGTCTATGGGTGTAGAGAACCAGGGTCCCAGGGAATCTCACCACTGGCCAAATCGTGACCCCAAGTTATTCCACTGGAACTTAACAAAAGCCGTCATTTTATGAATACCTAACTAATTTGATCTTCATTTTTTCACTTCCTTTCCTTAGAGAGAAATTATTAAATTATAGCATGATAAAAGAAGCAATAATCTCTCTGAATCTTTTTTTTTTTTTTTTTTTTTTTTGAGACCGAGTCTCGCTCTGTCGCCCAGGCTGGAGTGCAGTGGCGCGATCTCGGCTCACTGCAAGCTCCGCCTCCCGGATTCAAGCAATTCTCTGCCTCAGCCTCCCGAGTAGCTGGGACTACAGGCGCCCGCCACCACGCCCGGCTAATTTTTTTGTATTTTTAAATAGAGACGGGGTTTCACCGTGTTAGCCAGGATGGTCTCCATCTCCTGACCTCGTGATCCAACTGCCTCAGCCTCCTAAAGTGCTGGGATTACAGGCGTGAGCCACCGCACCCAGCCAATCTCTCTGAATCTTAACGGCAGTGAGACTAAACCTTTATCAGTGGAAGAATTGACCTAATTTCCATTTCTCAGCAGCTCTCGACCTTACTGAACACATCTGGCAGTGTTGAAGTTTCTTTCTTAGCAATCATTAATATTTATGCTTAATTCTTGGAAAATTAAATTTCTCCAAGATGAGGTTTCAGATACATTATTAAAAAATGAACTAAGAATTATGTTTTAAATCCCTAAAAAAGACCACACAAGTGGTTTGATACTTTTGGTTCCAAATAGATACTGTGATATGTGATTACTCATAACTTAGAGTAGTTCATTTTAATTGGCTATAATATTACCTGAATCTATAAGTGAAACTGTGTAGTTGAGAAAGAAAGTCATTCAATAATCTATGTCTTACTTCATCCTCACAATATTTGGGAAAATAGGCAATTTATTATTTATAATGGAGTAGGTAAGCTTTTTCAGATTTAGGTTTTTAACTTACGGATAAATCTAGTCATTATTTAATTCTTGTCCTTAGGAAGGATATGTTCTGTATTGCTAAAAATGAAACTGTTTTACTTCATCTTTAAAAAATACTGATTCCTGTGGGCACTATTAATCATCATCTTTGTCTACCAGTTGGTAGAAAACATAGAAAATAACAAAATGCCTGAAAATATCACAGGCAAGAAGAAAAAATAATGGCTAGAAAATGTGGCCATGAAAAATTCATATAAGCTGGAAAACCAAGTTATAAATCATTGCTTCAAACTCTCTTCATTTATCCTTTCAATAAGGCCTTAAACCGCAATGGCACATAGCTCTAGAGAAAACATTGCTGTGGATACGCAATGCTGTAACCCTACCTTTCGTGAAATTGGTCACCATTAGTTTGATACACGTATTGATTTTTATTTTGACATTGGTCCAGCACTGTCTCATGTGCAGTTGCCAGTTCTCTTTTCTCCTCAGCTTCTTATCCACTAGTATCTTCCTTAGAATGAAACCCGTTTCTCTCTTCTTCAAACACTGGGTGTTCATTTTTATCTGCAGTGTCTTGCTGTTCATTCCCAGCACTATCACTTTCCTGTGTATTCAGGCTCTCTGTGCATGAAATGTCTGTTCCATCTATATTCTCTCTTGGATTTATAGAATTTCTTGGAGCAAAATCTTCTACTTTGTCTTGTCTTTTTGTGTGAAATATGGCAAAACTTCTATGAACTAGAGAGGCATTGGTCTTCTCAGCATTTTTCTTGTTGAGTTTATTAACCTTTTCTTTCTCAGAGGAGAGCTGATTCTTCTGGGTAGATCTCTCTAGAAGCCACCATAGGACACAAAATATTTTAATGGAGAATGCAGGTGATCAGTATAATTTTGGCTTTCTATAATGGCATCTTTATCCAGGTTTCTTTTTATCAGCAGATATAAGCTTTTAAAAGCTAAGTAGAAGGAAATATGACCAATTGGGTTCCAAAAGATTTTCTTGTTTGTAACTAGTAAGACCCAAACACAAGCAAAAAAAAAAAAAGGGGGGGGGGGGCATTTTTTTATAAACATCACTTCTTCCTGCACAGGGCTTTATGAATGTGCAACTTCCTCTGAATAACAACAGGACTTTTATAACGGAACTTTCTTCATCCATAACTATCTACTTTTCTAAAGATGTTACCTGCGAGGGCTGATGTCCTTTTGCTTTTGACGGGCATCCTTTCCGTCAGGTCGGCGTTTGACCACACCTCCTTCGCCTGTGGAGGCACAATTGAGTAATTGAAGTTACATATCACATCTGGGCTTTTCAACCTCAGCACTCCTGACACTTGCGCTGGATGATTCCGTGTGGTGGGGAATGTCACGAGCATTACAGGACAGCAGCATCACTGGCCTCTATCCACCAGATGCCAGTAGCACCCTCCCTCCCAGTTGTGATGACCAAAAAGGTCTCCAGAGATCTATAAATGGGGAGCAAAATCACCCGTCACCCCAGGCTGAAAACTACTATATTATATGATTCAAACATAGAAAAAAGCCCAGTAAAATTAATAGTAATGTAGAGGGCAGAACAGTCTGAATTAATGAAAGCCTGTATAGACTACAGTATCTGAAATGAGCTCACTATTTTCAAAGAAATTCTGTAAAACTGTCATTATGGGAAAAAGCCCATCTTCATGAATAGATGAAAGGATGTTAATAATGTGTGCATCACCCTTGACCTCTGTGTAAGTTGTCTTGATATGGTTGACATATAAATCAAATAGAAATGAGAGGATACATGTGAATGGGCTCTGTAAACCAGAGAGTAGGAGATGAAAGTCAGCTTTATAAATGGAACCTTTACAGTGCTTAGAACAGATGGCCCTTTTCCTAAGTGGATAAACATTCTTCTCACAGTCCTGGAGTATCTGAATTAGTTGAGCAAACCGTTAGCTAATGTACCCCATATAAAAGGGAAACATTAGCCCAATCCACCCAAATTATCACAACTTCTAAAGTTTTGCATTATAAATTAATGACATTGTGTGGATGTCCAAAAAAAGTATTTATTTCCCCTTTGAAACACAACATAATCTGCCTTCAGCTGATTTGCAAGCATGAAACACCATGTAAGTTCAGAGCACAGATATCAAGACAAATTGCAAATGTGCTTTTTTTTTTTTTTTTTTGAGATGGAGTTTCGCTCTTGTTGCCCAGGCTGGAGTGCAATGGCGCAATCTCAGCTCACTGCAACCTCCAACTCCCGGGTTCAGGCGATTCTCCTGCCTCAGCCTCCTGAGTAGCTGGGACTACAGGCATGTACCACCATGCCTGGCTAATTTTTTGTATTTTCAGTAGAGACGGGGTTTTGCCACATTTGCCAGACTGGTCTTGGACTCCTGACCTCAGTTGATCCGCCTGCCCCGGCCTCCCAAAGTGCTGGGATTACAGGTGTGAGCCAACATGTCCGGCTGCAAATGTGCTTTTACACAATGCAGGGGGCAGCTCCATGGATTCAGAGTATTTCCGTTTTTTAGATGGTGAACTTAAAACATAAAGGCATGTTTAGTAAATCTGTGGAAAGCCAAGGCTGGAAGTGAGAGCTTCAGAGTTTCTCTTTAAGTGAAAGTCCAGAGACGGCACTTGCCTACTTTTCCCTCTGCAGGGACAATGGGCTGCCGCCTCTTCAAACAAAGCTGATTGCTCCCTCCTCTGTGCTTGCACAGAACTCAGCACATATCCCCACCCCTGGTGTCCCTTATAACACTTTAAGCCTTTTTTCCTGTCAATTTCCCACTAGACTGTGGACTTCCAGTGGGCAAAAAGACTGGTTCATCTTTGACTCCCTGGTGATTACTTCAGAGACCAGTACGTAGTGATGATGATGATGATGATGGTAGTGGTCATGGTGGTGGTGGTGGTGGTGGCGGTGGTGGTGGTGGTGGTAGTAGTGTTGGTTGTGGTGGTAGTCGTGGTGGTAGTGGTAGTGCTGCTGGTGGTGGTGGTGGTGGTGGTGGTGATGATTGTAGTGGTGATGGCGGTTGTAGTGGTGATGGTGACGGTCATGGTGATGATGGTGGTAGTGGTGACAGCTACCATGTATTGTGCACACACATTATGTACCACTCTTCTAAGCACTTTGTTTAACTGGTTGCTCCTGCTAACAGCCCTTTAAGATAGATACTATTAGCCCCATCGTACAAATGAAGTTGGGTAATTTCCCAAGGTTATAAAGTTTAGAAATGGTAGAGCTAGGATTCTGACCCAGCTGTCTACTTCAGCCAGTGCACCTAACTACCACCCTATACTGTCTTTCTGGGGAAAAAAAAAGATAGAAAGACTATAGCCAAGTTACATGATTCCTATTTATTGAGATCTACTACATAGTTGGCACCACAGGAGATAAGAAAAATGATTAAGAGAGAAGGTCATAAATCAAAAACAAATTAGCAGAGTGAAGAGATAAATATTTGTCGAAAGATTACAATTAACATGGAAGAGAAGCAAAAAAAGGAGAGAATTTAAGTCCAATTTTGAAAGCATATATCCAAATTAGTCGAATAAGACAGTTTAACAAATTGTGTTTAAGGTGTTTTATAACTGTCTTTCAGTTCTTCCCTTTTGAAATGAAAACTTCTGGTGTATCAATAGACATTGTGCTTCTGGGTTTATTCTGTGTGGCATGAATGCAATGATATAAGCATACGTGGATTTAATAATGAAAACTGGTATGTATCAGTCAATTTCTACTCATAAAAGTATATAAAATTGAGCAGCTGGCTGTAAGACTCCATGGAGCACTGATAGATCCACGTTTGCCCCTGAGGCCATCTGAGTATCAGGTGGAAAAGTCCACATGCTAACCCAATATTCTTTGGGTTCGGAGTTGGACTTGACCAACAGGAGAAGCTGTCAGTATTGAGGAATATAAGAAGCCAGCTTCCAAGAGAGGTTGCTTTTTTCTTTAGTAATTATATATCACATATGTTTTTCCATTTAAATAATGTAAGAAGGCCTTTATTCATTGCCAAAGGCTGTTATAGTTTCATTTCCCTATGTAATACTGACATCTAGAGGAACTTTGAACCGAAGAGTTTCCAACAAACAGAAGTTGTATTCTCCTGTCCTTTCCAGGACAGACGCTGTATTTCTCCTTTTCTTTTCAGGACTGCAACCAAAAATATGAAACATTTTTACTTTGTATTTCTAAGTTATGCCTAGAAGTTGCTAAAATAGAAAGCTCAAGTTTGTAGATACACCTTGTTTATTGTCCAAAAATGAAACATGTCTTCTACCGATTAAAGAGCACAGGACCAGTGCTCTTAAGCATTAAGTTTCTGACCCAATCCTGACCATCCCCAGTTAATGGGATGAAAACCATGTCAGTGACTATATTCCTCTGCTGAATTCACATCGATGGCTGGGATGAACCTAAGGACCTCTTTCATGCAAATTCACTTAAAAATATTTCTATATTTGCATATGGATTTCTTTGGAACTATTTACCAATTCCTTTTATAATAATTTATCAGTGGATGTAGAATGACACAGGGAAGAAAGGCTAAGTGGTCCAGATGTCCAAGTATTCAAAACACAGCTTAGCTCTCTCCACTCTGTCTGGCTTCCTAGACTGGTCTCGTAAGTGGGATATACGTACCCAGGGAGTGTCCATAGTAGTCCTTTGGAGGGTATCAAGGACATGCTAGAACTCATTTCAATTTATTCCATTCCTTATGGATTGAATGTATCCCCCCCGACGATATACGCACACAAATTCATATATTAAAATCCTAACCCTCATGGTGATGCTATTAAAAGGTAGGGCCTTCGAAGGTGACTAGGTCATGATTGGAGAGTCCTCATGAATGGGATTAGTGCCCTTATAAGAACCAAAATGAAAGTTTGCTCACTCTTTATGGGGAGAAGCCCACTACACACTAGTAACGGGGCCCTCGCCAGGCCCTGGATCTGCCAGCAGCCTGATTTGGGACTTCTCAGCCCCCAGAACTGTGAGAAATAAATGTTTGTTGTTTAAACCACCCAGTCCAGAATAATTTGCTATAGCAGCCCAAGCTAAGACACCATTCTTTTAACATTTATATTTTACATATGTTTTTAAAAATATATTGATACAATTGGACACATATAAAAGTATCTCTGACATATTAAATGTTATTTATAAAAATAAAAGTGCAGCCAGGCGCAGTGGCTCACACCTGTAATCTCAACACTTTGGGAGGCCGAGGTGGGCAGATCATGTGGTCAGGAGTTTGAGACCAGCCCGGCCAACATAGTGAAACTCCATCTCTACTAAAAATACAAAAATTAGCTGGGCCTGGTGGTGCACACCTGTAGTCCCAGCTATCAGGAGGCTGAGGCAAGAGAATTGCTTGAACCCTGGAGGCGGAGGTTGCCGTGAGTCAAGATTACGCCACTGCACTCCAGCCTTGGCAACAGAGAGAGACTCCGTCTCAAAAATAAAATAAAATGAAATAAAATAAAATAAAATGCATGTAGTGGTTATCAATGTATATAATTATAAATAAATATATCGCGGAGTGCTTTAAAATATTTTACTGATGGCAGCACAAAATCAAAATAATTTGGAGACAATTGTAGATAACACCGTGCTTCACACTCTGATTTTCTGAAGTGTGTTTTGGAGCAGGATCATTCTAATTAGTCGGTTTGAGTGCAAGAACATAATTAGAACTATCAGCTCAATTCTTGCAAACTCTTTTTCTCCTTCTGCAAAGTACTGCTTTTAAGAGTTCAGTATTCATCGCTTGCGTGCCAGTTTTGATTATTTAAGCAATTTCAAGTCAGCACTTTATCCTCTTTTCTCCGTTAACCATTACATTTACTGCCATAGGATCCAGATTTGAACAGCAGGGCGGCATCGGTCCACAGGCGTGTGCCGGCTACCTGGGCATGAGTGCGCTCTCGCCCTGCGTCACAGACCTGTCCCAGTACTACATCAAAACCCTACTTTTCCTGAGAGTGGCGGAATAGCTGAAAGGGAAATTCATTCAACTGAACAACATCGTCTAATCCTTCTTTCATTCCCATTCAATAAAAATCATTTAAAAAATCAATGGTAAAACGGATTTGTCCTTGAAAGAACATAAAGGCTGAGATAAGGGCTGCTCCTCTGGACCTCAACAATGCCACCATCGTTTTCCGTGTTACTGCAGCGTTCTCAATGTGTCTGTCTGCCCGCTGGCATACGGACCCTTCTCTTCCCCTTCGTTTCCCCAGCACCGAACAGAGGGTAAAGTTCTGAAGTGCTTGGTGAAGCAATGCGTGATGAAGAAAACAGTGCTTTCTGGAATGGCACGTTCACTGTGAGAACACTCTGTCATCAGGCTGCACCCCTGAAAAGCCAGGCTGCCCTGGGGGCCATCTCAGATGCATCCCTGCCACGGTGGCTCATATCCACAGCCCTGAATTTACATAGCCGATGGCCAGCAATATCAACGGCCATGCATTTTGGGATTACAGTTGCTGCAGAAAATTGTGTTCATAACATAACATATAGAGAATTCCTGGTTCTTTTTAAAACTGTTGCAAACAGGCCAGATAGAAGAATGGAGGAGAACAAATATTTGTAATAATTTGTAGCTGTGACCCACAGCCTGGACTCTGATGGTGGCAGGTAGATGTTAGAGGTCGGCCACCCTGTCCTACAGCTCTGTCCTCTACTGCCAGGCTCAAGTGTTGGTCTTTTCAAACCTCCTCAGCTCTGAACGTATCACCCACATGGCCTTTCTACAACAAGGGGGTTATCAGGATAAGAAAACTCGGAAGTGTATTTAAATTCTAAAAGTTCAGTGTGAAAAAGGAATAGCCTAATGGAATAAATCTGACCAGTCCTGGGCTCCGCAGAGTCTTTTCTTGCTAGCAGAGGACGCTGGGTCATGTACCCTGAATAACAGTTTTGCATATTACTGTTTGTGGAAATGCCAAGATGAACAATTTTTGGCCATTTTACCTAAGTTCTAGAAATATCTAAACAAAAGTATAACAATTTATAATGACTTTATTAAACTTGGATTAGATTCCTAATGGGGGAGAGAACAATAAATAAATCCTACAAGAATACAAAGAGATGAATTTTCAGAAGAAATATGAAAACATTTTCTTGCCTGAGCATAGAAGATACTTCTAGAGATTGTTTGTAAAGCAAATCTATTTCCCTTCAACCTCAGCACACACTCAAACTCTCCATGTATGAAGCGAGAAAACCCTGAAGTCCTGGGTGATAAAAGGAATTCTCACTAAGCAAAGCCTGTTTCATGGTCTGTGGGGACTGGCATGGCTCAAGGCAGGACAGAAACTGACTGACCAAATCCAGAAAGGGAAAGTGTTCACCTGTTCTCAGAACTCAGTAAGTGGATCCTCCCCAGGCTGCTGATGACATCAGGTGGAGTCAGTCACCTGAGAAAATAACCCCGCCAGGAAAATTAAAGCCTTTCCATGCACCCACAATTATGTGCACAGTGCTTCACTCGGAAGCCAAGTAAATGGGACCCTCCAAGTACATAGACCAAGAAAGAGCCTGAAGTTAAAGGTGTGGATTTAGGAAAGCCTAACTGGATCATCCACTGAATGAAGATGCACGGATAATTTTACTTTATTTTATTATAATATACATTGAGCTGTATCATAAGAGAAAGCATGCTACCACTTTTCTTTTCTTTTCTTTTTTTTTTTTTTTTTTTTTTGATATGGAGTCTCTCTCTGTCGCCCAGGCTGGAGTGCAGTGGCGCAATCTCGGTTCCCTGCAACCTCCATCTCCCGAGTTCAAGCAATTCTCTGCCTCAGCTTCTCCAGTAGCTGGGATTACAGGTGCCCCCTACCACACCTGGCTAATTTTTTTTTTTTTGTATTTTTAGTAGAGACAGGGTTTCACCATCTTGGCCAGGCTGGTCTTGAACTCCTGACCTCGTGATCCACCTGCCTCGGCCTCCCAAAGTGCTGGGATTACAGCTGTCAGCCACCATGCCCAGCTGCTACCATATTTAACAGCCTCTGCTAGCAAGAAAAGACCGTGTGGAGCCCAGGATGGTCAAATTTACTCCATCAGGCTATTCCTTATTGACATCAAAACTTTTTATAAATATACTTCCAAGTTTTCTTATCCTGATAACTCCCTTGTTGTAGAAAGGGTTATATGTTCGGAGCTGAGGAGGTTTGAAAAGATCAGCGCTTGAGCCTGGTGGTAGAGGACAGAACTGTAAGATGGGGTGGCCAACCCCTAACATCTACTGGCCACCATGGGGGTCCAGGCTGTGGGTCACAGCTACAAATTATTACAAATATTCTCTCTCCTCCATTCTTCTATCCAGCCTGTCTGTGTAAATTTTAAAAACAACCACTTAAAATGAACAAATTAAGAATCTTCACCTACCTATGTGGCCACAGTGAGTAGTTCGATAACACAGATTTTATTTTCCCCCATCTTATACCCATTGGATGTGCTGACACCTTATAATGAGTCTGATATTGTTATTTTCTTCCCACTGCCACCTTACCTGTCCTCCCCACAGAGAAAACGCTGAGTCCTCTGACTTGAGGCCGCTCTTTCTTTCCCTCTCAAACTCGCATTGCTCACCCTGCCGCCCCACCACCCCACCTGTTTTTGTTATCCAAACTGTTCTAAGTTCTAATATGTGGCTCTCAACCATCTGGGGATGTTGGACACTATTAATGCCTGGGTCCTCCCCTGAAGATTCTGATAAACTGGGTCTTGAGTGGGGCCAGAACACCAGTGTTTTTTAACCCACCCACACCCCAGGGATTGTAAAGTACTAAAAGGGAGGGGACCCACTTCCTCTGTCGCCTCCGGTCACTCTGGCCTTTGTTCTGAGGCCTTCTTACCAGCCAGGCTCCCTCTGGTCACAGATTGGAGCAATTATAACAACACTGGAATCCCTCTTCCTCCCCCCGATAAGCAAGGTCTTTGATCCTATCCAGGATGGACTATCTAGCAAACCACTGCCTCCTCCTTATCCTCCACCCAGGGATACGTGTGTGGAAATGAGGCCAAGGTAAACGGCCCTGAGACCCATAAAACCTCCCTCCAAAAATGATCTATGGGGCATCCTGGGAGGGCAACAAATAAAAAATCCAACGTTGCCAACCATGCCTCTGGTCCTCTGCCTGAAAGCTTTCTGCCTTGCTTCTTGGCCAAAATTTAGTAATTGAAAGTGATTTAATTCCTCCATTAAAATGGAGGTAAGCAGAAGAGAGGAGGACTCAGGCTGAGGTGGAGAAATATCACCTTTCAGGGCATAGAAGTATTTATAGCACTTTGCGTAAAAGTATATCTAAAAACTATACATCAAGGGATGCTTTGCCTTCTTGGGATTCCGTCACCAGAATAGCACCTGAGCACTTCAAAAACTGTGCAGTGAGGCTACTAAGAAATTGAGAGCGTGAGTGCATGTGTGTGTCAACCGACTTCAAATGGAATCACAGCTCCTCATGTTCATTTCATTAAAATGAGTCTTACTTTGTAAAATTTCCCTTTCATAACGCAAGTCCAAACCTTGGAATGTTTTCGCATGAAGTTTACAGTGTTTCTTCATCACCCAATAAAACTCTTTGATTTCTTCCCGCCGCAGACAGTTTTAAGAGCCTTCATTTCACATGGGGTTCTCGGTATGCTTTTTAATTTTTATTTTAAGATCATTTTTTATCACTTCATCTCCTGTCTCCCACTCTGAGCCTAAGTTCAGTTCGGCCTCCCCGAGCCCCACTGCCTCCCTGCAGTGGGGCACGCCGGCCGAGGCTCAGAGGGGCTTGGTGTTTCCTAATGTGAGGCGAGGTGTGGTCCCCTGGACTGCAGGAATATTTAGAGATCTGCGCTTAGACTCAAGGAGTAAAATGCTTAACCTCCTAATGGTTTACCTTTCTGCATCTTCCCCTACACAGGAAACACACACTGCAAAGCAAAGTGACTTTTGAAAAGCTACCTCTGAAAAGCAAAGAGATACTACAAAGCTCTTCAAAAATGTCTCTGAATGAATGAATTTGTCTGTAATACAAACTGCGTAGGTAAAAAACTAATCAGTTATGACTGTCCCCAACATTTAGTCGCCTGGTCCAGTCTATGCAAAGTGGGCTGGTGAATCCGCAGCAGCAGCATCTCCTGGGAACCTGCTAGCAATGCAGAACCTCAGAACCTCAGCCTCTCCCCACCACCCACCCAATCAAAATCTGCTCTTTAACCAATGGCCAGGTGGTTCCCATACATGTTAGAATTTCAGAAGCGTTGACCTAGTTAATATACGTCATGAATTGGTGCGAAGAATCATTTTACAAAATATGTGTCCCAGCCTCGTGTGTCTATTTACATCTTGCCTCCATCCACAAGGCGTCTGAAGAGCTAATCTCGTACTTGGGTAAACTCAGAGGGAAGCCAGTGAGGAGCGGGGAGGGAGTCGAGACAGCATTCACTGGGGGCCGCATGCCGCTGGCCTTGCTGGCAGCAGTTGGTGGAGACCCAGCACTGTGTGGAACATCCGTGAGCTGCTCAGGAGGCCCAGGACTCCCGCTGGAGCTCAGGGAAGAGCATGCATAACTAGGTATCATGTGCCTGGAACTTTCCACTAATCTCTGGGGTTGACAGATTGCCCAAACTCAGGCCTCAGAGAAGAGCAACATTAAGGCCCAAAGACAGGATGAAAACCAAGGCAAACCAAGCTCTGGAGAATTAGGAATGTATTCTGATGGGCCCCAAAATGCAAATTAGGCAGTCAGGATTAATGCAAAGAATACAGTTAGAATTAATACAAGTGCTGTAACCTGGCTACAATAAAGGTGACTATCAACTTGAAAGAAAATAAAAGTATTGTGTCTAGCATAGTTCTTACAAATCAAAATTTAGAGGTTGAAGGGTGGGGTGGGGAAGGAAGGCGGAAAGATGAGCTGTTGATTAAAGGGTACAAAGTCTCAGACTGGAGGGATAAGTTTTAGTGAACTATTGCACGGCTTGGTGACCACAGTTGTTAATAACATACTGTACATATTTAAAAATTGCTAAAGGAATAGATTTTTAACATCCTCACCACAAAACAGTGTTAAGTTGGGGAGGTGGTAGATGTGTGAATTAGCTTGATTGACCCTTTCTACAATGTATACATAGATCAAAACTTCACACCGTGCCCCAGGAATATACACAACTGTTATTTGTCAATTAGAAATAAATTAATTAAAAATGTTAAGTACACAGCTAGTACATACCCTCCAACACCCCCGATCGGTCTGTGTTTTACTCCTAAGATATGCTTAAGCCCTCAATATATGAAGAACATGAACACCAAGCTGAACTCTTCGGGTTCTTGTCTCATTGTCCTTTGTTTGATTGTGGACGTGGGGGAAATATTCAGCTGGTATGCTGGTACCATCCTAGTTATTAAAACATGGAAATACCTCCATGCTGGCTGGTAAATAGGGGATTTTCTGAGACTCCCAGGAGCTCCTCCAACCTCCCGACCTCGCCTCCTCTCAGCCTCAGGACCATCCTAAGACCAGTAACTATAGGGTCAATATCTAGCATGGAGGGGGCCCCCAGGACCCTGGTCCAATGCAGTACACCTTGATACGTGAGCAACTGTGGACTCCCAGTTATTAGTGTACAGACCAGGGAAAAAGAGTATCATATGAAGGCATGTGGCCACAACAACAGGCTGTTGGCCATGTAATATTTAATATTTAAATAAGAAGTTTTTAAAAATATTTACGCTATCCCTGCAAGTTCATTATTAGGTACGGAATCAAAGTGTGCTTTGAAAGTCAAGGAGAGAGCAATGGACAACAGTGAAGAGAGGTAAAAGAGTTACTACCAGCAATGCCTTTACCTACCTTAGGCCCTGGGACGGTGGCCCTGAAATTATTAAAGTTCCTTCCCCAGAAATTCTTAATCTATGGGTCTGGGTTGAAGCCCAAGGACATTTTTCATGAGCTCTGGGAGTGATTCTGATGCACATGGTCCAGTGACCCTACTTTGAGAAAACAGGTAGAACTCCTACCCATTATTCAAGACCCAATTCAGGAAGGTTTCCCTTTGTGAATTCTTTTTTTTTTTTTTTTTTTTTTTTGAGACGGAGTCTTGCTGTGTCGCCAGGCTGGAGTGCAGTAGCACGATTTCGGCTCACTGCAAACTCCGCCTCCGGGGTTCAAGCGATTCTCCTGCCTCAGCCTCCCAAGTAGCTGGGACTATAGGCGTGTGCCACCACGCCCACCTAATTTTTGTATTTTTAGTAGCGATGGGGTTTCACCATGCTGGCCAGGATGGTCTCCATCTCTTGACCTCGTGATCTGCCTGCCTCGGCCTCCCAAAGTGCTGGGATTACAGGCGAATTCTTTCTTAAACACTCCCCTCCCATATGTTCTACCTAAAGAGGAGTCCACCTTCTCTCTGCCTCTGTTGGCCACACATCTTCGTGGATTTATCACACTGTGTTGAATGATTTGTTTGCATTTCTGACTCCCTCAAGGCATCTCAGTATCTCTAGAATCTAACTCAGTGTCAGCTCATGACAAACACTGATTGATTGACTGATTTGTTGATTAGAAGGTCGGGTTGGGGGAACTGATGCCAGGCTGTATTTACTGATCATCTCAACCACCTGTATGAAGATTTTTGTCAAGGGCTGCCATTACATGCCCTTTATTACATCCTCCTCAGCATCACACTTTGATGTCCAGCTCCCAGACTCCTGTGGTACCTACAAGTCCCACGTCCATGCAGCGCAATCTGTTGTCCTGGACCTCTGGAAGAAAAGCTAAGTCTTCTCAGACCTTTGTAGAAATTCAAATGTTTGTGTCACCAGCAGCATCTGAAACTCTATCCTCAGTATGGTTTTTGAAGTAATTTACCATTTGATCACCTTCTCAAATTTCTTAGACCTACTAAAAATCAGAACATGTACTATAAACATTCATTTGCTTAGTGTATATATTTAAGATCTATTATTCATATTTCTGCATTGGCCGTAACTTCTTTAGCATGCTTTAACATGTTTGCCCAGAGAGATACTTCATGAATACTTTTGATCATGGGAAATGAGGTTAGAGTTAGGGATTGTTGCTGCCACATTTTACTTTATTATGATTATGGAAACTAATTTTTCCAGAAGGCAAGAGCAGGGAGTAGCTCTTTCCTTTGAAATGTCTGGTTAAATTTCTTTGCACATCTCCTAGCCCAACATCAAATCAAGTGCTAAATAATGTCTTTGCATTTTACTATTAAAGTCCTTTACAATATATTTCTAATGGCAACTAAGTAGCCAGTCCAATTATACATCATATCCATCACTCTAATGTCCCCTCAGCTTTAAAGTTCTAGGATGTCACAGGAGCTAGAAGAAAGCTTAGCACAGCGAAGGAGCATCCTCAGAAACTTTATATGGTTGCAAGACACCGATTCTCGGGTGCTTTTCCAAATATCTCCACCCTTGGAATCTGTCTTCTGTTGTGATTATGATTTAGTGGTAACCAGATTGCTAAGCAAAAATGTCTTTATAACAGATCGCAGAAGAAAGCAAGATGCTTGTTTGGGTGGCTGTGTGCTTCTTATTGATTTATTTAGTGTTTTTAGTTCTTCCCCATTTCTCAGCAGGTGAGGCCTTCACTTGGGTTCAGTTCTTAGGTTCTCCTCACTGCATTAGGAACTGTCAACATGGAAATCGTTCTACTGAGGACTTTCTCAACAAAGTTTCCCATTCCCCTTTCTACAAAGGGAAGGGAGGGTGATGGGAGTAGTCTCAAGGTTCTTCTCAAGTTTCTTCTCAAGCATTGCTTGGAGGTAGTAATGAGTGAAGCGGGATGGGGGTATACAGAGTCTGAGTTTGTAACACATGCCCCTCCAGGTCCTTTTCAAATTCCTGGTCCCAGTCATCCATGGCAATGAGCCTGTGTTCCCTGTTTAAGCAGGGAGCTTGATTTGCTGATTCAAATAAGAATAACAATCTCTTATTCTCCAAGGCAGGAAATTGCTGTTTTGGTGAATGAAACCAAAACAAATCCAAAAAGCAGCACTTTTTGTTGTTGTGTAAATCAGCCATTTATTTTCCATGTTGGCTGAAGGCAGAACAAGAAGAAATCTGAAAAAACAACTTAGATTTAACATCACATTTAAATTTTATATTACAAAGAAATTACGGGAATGGAAGGAGTTTGCCTCCCAGTCCATTGGGTTAGAAAGGTAACTGTTTTGTATTCCCAACCATACAATTTACCACAAAAGAACATAGTATTTTAGAAGCTCAAAATAAGACAAAGAAAGGGAAAATTTCTCAAATTATGTAATCCATTTGAATTCGGGGGAAAAAAAAAAAAAACCTTAAAGAGCATTGTAGCCCAATCAGCTCAACTTGAAATGAGATTCTACCCAATTTCACCTAGTTACAGGAAATTTTAATAATGTTTAAAATGTTTTTGCCAAAAGGGATGACCGTCGATAACACTGAATAATATTGATGATCTTTTCCCACACTTTCATCTTTAAAAATGTCATAGGACATTGCAATATATGATCTTTTCTCTCATTAAACATCCAGCCATCACAATGCATTTTTCAAAGACACACAGCTCTGAATATTCTATCTGTTATTGTATACTGTTTTCTGTGATGTTTAGAAGAGTAGGCAACTATAGATTAATTTGTGTTAGGTATTTGTATAAGCATAAGAATTAATTTATGTTTTGGTATCAGGTCGCTATAGTGAGAAGCACGTTATTCGTCACTCTAAAGTGACTTTTTTTTTTTCCAGAAAAAAAACCCCACAAAAGAACAAAAGGACATTTTTGGAGGTGATGGATAAGTTTAGTAACTTGATGGTGGTGATGGTATCACAGGTGTATGCATTTGTCCAAACTCATCAAAACGTGTATATTAAATACGTGTAATTTTTTGTATATAAATTTATACCTCAGTGAAGCTTTTTTTAATATAGATATAATAATGGACAAGATTATGAAAACTGTATTAGCACCTGTGGTATCGAAAGAGAAACTTTAGCTTTGGACTACACAGCGTGTGGGAGCCAGGAGGGGCTGGCTTACTTCCTTGATTGGCAGAGGGCCCCACTTGAAATTCTTCGAGGAGGAGAGAGGTACAGTATCACCCAGGGCGTGCATTTCCATAGGAAGCCACAGCAATGCAGACTGGCTCTTCCTCCTTCACGGAGAACATGCTAAACTACACTCAGAGCAGTAATAAGTAAATCAATGCCTACGACGAGGTGACAGCTGGCCTCTGCAGCAGAAACACATGATCACAGATGGAAAGCTCAATTATGGGTATTCCAAGAACAGAATTAAAGTCTGTTTTCAGTTAGAAGCCCCATATAAAATGGGGCTCCATCTGTATTTACTACATGCAGCTGCGTCTTTCTCAAAGTGCTTAATGAACTTTTTCTTCTTTGTGAACGTCCACTTGCACATAAAGGTAGCAACCTGAAGTAAATATCACAGGAACATACCTGCACAAAGCAACACGGGACAGTATACGTTTTTCTTCCTCTGTTAACTGAGAGACATTACATACTCCATACTCAGGTCCTAAGCTATTTCAACCAACTGCAGAAAATAGATCTAAACTGTGAAATAAAAAAAACTGCTTTAAGAATAGTAACTTTTTCCAACTATTATGGCCATATCTCATTATTTTCATGTATTAAAATTTAGTCCACAGTATAAATATACTTGAATTTCACATTTAATGAGATCAGTTCAATTTGGCATTTAACAATCACTGTAAAATTTTTCATTTTGATTTAATTCAGTTATACAGCAATATATTTTCAAACCGATCTCATTATTGGTGGCGCACATTTACACGCACACACAACTTACTACAGCAACATCAGTCAAATCGCAACATGAAAAGTTCGCATGCTATTACTTTGCTGTTGTTCATTTTCTATTCACCCCCACAAAATTAATCATACTGGCATGAACTTCTCCTAATAGAGAAGTAGTGTTATTTAAAATAAGTAAGTTCAGTTCCCAGGTAGATGCTATAAAAAGTGTTAAGCACATTTTATGAATTCGACTTTCAGTTAGTATCACCCCCAAATTTTTCTCCACTAAAAGTTGTGACAATAAATGTCAAAGTCAAATGTGTTTTTTCTTTTGAATTTTAAAGAAAACGAACCAAATAAGGATTACAACACCTAAGAAAATCTGCATTCTATAAAATTGAGACTTCAGATGCAAAAAAAATCAACAAATCAAAATCCTAAAATCTACTTTTTTTCAAGTGATTAAGTAACTAAGACTAGTTTGTTATAAAATATGGATATGTATTTTTAGTGAAATAGCATACCATTCATAAGCATCATATTTTTATTAAAATATTGCTCCCATCAATACTCATTTAACCATATTCACATTCACAGAGTGTATATAATCTTTTCCCCTGGATGATTTAATATCTTTATTAAAACTCAAAAATAGAAATTTTGATGGTATTAATCTCAACCTTATATGGAAACAC
Source organism: Homo sapiens (assembly GCF_000001405.40). Lineage (NCBI taxonomy): Eukaryota > Metazoa > Chordata > Mammalia > Primates > Hominidae > Homo > Homo sapiens. The sequence continues at coordinate 2,708,093 of NC_000006.12, forward strand.
ACTTTCTCAAAACAATGTTTTATTTTAATAATTAATAATGTTAAAGTCAGTTTCATTACTAAGTTCAAGTAATAATCAAAGAACACCAACTCCAAAATAAAAGTTGGGAAAGTTGACACTGAATCTACAAACATATTCATACTCAGAAATAAAAATGTGTGCTTCTGAGTACTATTCCCTGATGAAAACCTCAGTTTTAAAAATTTGCCTTTGAGCATTACATTTTGTTACATTCTCCTCTACTGGGTTTGGGAATGATTTTTCAGAGAATACCAAAGTGCTGATCTTTGTTCATCAAAGTTCATCTTCACAGATTTGCCATACAATGTAACCTTCATCATCATTTTGGCTATGGGAGAAAAAAAAATCGTGGCTCACCTTTCCATTTCCTCTGCTAACAAAGTAGAGAAATTATCCAATCTCAAAAAACTATATTTACTTTGACTTAAACTGTTAGTCTCAGGCAGCCCCAAAGTAAATCGGCTATTCTAGTATGCTTAGGGATTCTGGCAGCTCTCAACTCTCACAAAGGTTGTTGTTTTGGTTACACCCAGGACTATATGTTCTAGTCTACTTAATCTTTTGGCCTATCACTTTGTACTCTGACTCATAACTAAAAGTCCTAGTTCCCATGAAGAAACATCGTTTCTTCAAGGCAGAAGTCAACATTATAGGAAAGCCTGGGTTCATCTTCTGCCTTTTGCGTCTCCGTATATTCTCTCATAGCCTTGAACACAGTATCTGATTTCTTTCTAAATAAGCTACTATTTTTAAAATTTGAAAAAGTTTAACCTCCCTTCTCAAGCCATGTACCTATAAAATTTCAGATTGTCCCCATTCTTTTAGAAGATATTTTGCCTTCTTCAGCATGATAATAACAGAATGATCATGGTTGCTATGGCCTTTATCCTGTTAGTGGTACTCATCATTTATGTTTAATCAGAACAACTCACTGCTATTTGACATTTCTTCCCACTTTGGCCATCATAACCCTCTATCGGTCATCTCATCTACTGTCTACTAGTCATCTATGAACAGTGAACTGAGATTTTTTCCTCTTGGAAAACTCATGAGCCCTTTCTATTCAACTCTGCACCAATCATTCCAAAATTCGGTCTTTATTTCTATCACACAACGATGAGCAGATCTTAACATCTGGTCATGCTGTAAGGATCTCAAACTTTACATATCAAAAAGAAAACATCATTTTACATCAACATCTTAACACTCCATATTAGCTTGCCTTCCCGTTGTTTCAGTTTCTGTCAGTGGTGCCATGAGACTTGCGTCTTACTTGTGGATCTGCCCGTGAGGCATGGTGTCCCACTCAAAGCCAGACACAGACAGATCTGTGCCTTGCACCTTCCCACTGGGCATAGCTCACAAAGGAGGTTCACCACCTTAGAATTCAGGGCCACAGCAAGCCCCAGGACTGAGGTTCATGAATGGCACCAGGAATTCAACAAACAAGCAAGTACAGCACATGGCAACCCAGAGAAACGCTGTTTGCAATTCCATTTGAACTAGTGTTCTGCATGTTTTTCTTTGGCAACCTATGTGATTCCAACATTCAGTCACAGATTGAATTGAGTTGAGAACAATTGCCCTAGGGTTAGCTTGCTAATGTACGATCTCTCTAATTTGTAAAGCTTGTGCTAAATGGAAAGTGAATTCTGTAGCCCCAGCCAAGATTTCCCTTTCAGGTTTGGTTAATGATGGTTTAATTCACCAAACTTTAAGAGTAGGTGTTGGGAGGTGCTAGGATTTGACAGCAGAGAAATAAACCCAAAATACTGTCTCTGTCCCCAAGAAACTAACAGTCAGGAGCTGAAATAAAATAAAATCTTCCATACTTGAATATATATTTTATTAAAACAAGAAATCATTTCTTTAAAATATAAAAATATTTAAGTAGTAATTGGCTATGTTGACATTTCTACTTATGAGAGATGTCCATTTGGAATAAAACATAAATAAAACCCTTTTACATGGAGGCATCAAAAATATATTCTTAAAAATTAATAGCTTTTAAGTACTAATATAAACCTTCTCTCACTTGTAAGTTTTCTGACATTGAATGCTGCTTCCGGTTTTCAATGATGCCTCACTCCTGCAGGCTGCGTTGAATAAACATAGAAATTGATCCCCCAACATTGGTATTAAAGCTCTCAAGCCATGTGGTTCCTTAGGAGATTGAAATAGGCCCAGTTGTCCCACAGAACTGATGTTCATAGTGTCTTATTAGAAATTTACAGCCCCCACTCCCTCCCCAAGTCTTAAAACTTAAAAAAGTTACATTTTTCTTCTCTGAGTTCCTTTCTCAGGAAACCAACCATCAGGTCTCCCAGACAGTATCAAAGAACTAAAACTCACCAGGTCACCACATCTGGACAATGAAATGCCAGACTCCTTATCCATCATGATTGCTTAAACAACTACCTCCTTTCTGTTGACCAGCTCTGCTTCCTTACCCCTCCCTAATTCCTGTTTTACATTTCTTCACTGCTATAAAAACCCCTAATTTCAGCTGGTTGAGGAGATGGATTTGAAACAGATCTCCCATCTCCTTGGCTGCAGCACCCAAATAAAGCCTTCTTCCCTGGCAAGACTCAAAATCTCAGTGACAGGCTTTCTGTGCTGCAAGAAACAAGACCTAGACCAAACCCCTGGTGTTCCAGCAATAAAATTAGACACATGGCTTTCAGTGTTCTTTAAAGTTGGTGTTTAAAAGCCTGAACAGGATGAAGGGCTGTGTCATAGCACAGACTGTCTTACAGTAGCTTATACTATCACCAATAATTTGTTATCAGCAATGTCCGAGGTAATAAAATTTGCCAGCCTTTCTTTTTTCAAATCAGTGGTTTCAAGTTTATTCCTTATAATAACATTTCTTGCACTCACTTGTCTCCAGGAGTGTTTTCCTGAGTGGGAGACACAGGGGAGGAACTGTGGCCATTCTGCTGGCTTACGCATAACCACACACAGCTGTGTACATGAGACCAGGGTGGGAACATCCTCCTCCGTGTGTGCCACAACAGAAAATGGCAAGAACTGCTGCTCAGGTTCATATCAGTCCATTAATTAACACGTATCAGTGCCACAGTTTCACCCAGCTGTTGTTATCCAGTTTCCATGCCTCTGAATTTCCCACAAGGACATGGTAAGAAACTCAATTGCAGAAATTAATCTAATCATGGTATTACCATCAACAACTAGTTTAGTAACCATGGAGAAAAGGAAGTAAGATGACTTTAGCATGATATTTTCTTAATGAACTCAAGTTACAAATTATTGTTAGTGTTCTGGATGTGTTAGCATCCTCCTACCTTCACACTCAGGTGGTTCCATGTTCTAAATATTCTTAGATTCCAATTACTTCAGAATCTCCTCATTAAATGTTCTTGCCTATGGCTCAATAAAGATAAAATGAAATGGGGGGAAGATGCTCCTTGTATTTTCAAACTTTGCACTACTATGACATAGGAGGACAATTTTCTGTTTATCCTGCATGAGCTTTGCTATGGGGTGTCAGCTCTATGGAAGGACCACGACCTCACAGCAACACACTTTAATGGGGCAGCACTTATTCGATAAGCTAAGAAGTGCAAAGATGTTTTGGAAAGGCATCTGAGACACACATTTAGTATGTGACATTATCCATGAACTGAAAACAACTTTTAACAATGCTAAAGTTGGGTATCTTTTTTTTTTAAAGGCAAATTTTAAGGTATATAACTTTAAAGTAGGCTCTAAGCATTTCATCCAAAAAAGCAACATACAAATGATAAATGTTTTTCAAAATAACTAAAGCTCTTTCCTCCAACCATGATATCCTTGACAAAAGGTGCTTCTGTAAAGATGTAAATCATGAAAATACAAGTTATACATTATGCAGGTAAATATGTATCAGGATATATTCAGAGCTGGCCATTTGAAGTAGATTTTTCTCATCTTTTGTTTTAAAGCAGAAGACGGACTGCTGTTAACTGGTCTATTCAAAAAAAGCACCACCATGTTTCCACTAATGCTCACTGTAATCTAAAGTCCTCAAGCACGGATGCCACTCTCCCTTAACATCAGCTTCATCATGTTCCGGGGCTCATGTTCAGCAGAGGCCACCTGAGATGATAAATGACCTTTGTGGAGAGAAGCTATAAATCTAAGCTGGCTCCCTTTTGTCCATCAACGGCAGTCACCAGCTGTGTTCAGTAGCACTCACGTACTCTCTCTGACATGCAGGTCCTGGCTAGCAAATTCCAGAAGATAGGCCACATATGGGTAGGCTTGCCCAGACCCATGTGTCTACTTCAGGCCCTTTAAACTCAAGTAGAGAGCCAACAGGCATTCAAAGTACATCGCCAGTGATGTAAAAGGTCATCTCTGACTTGCACTAAACAGAACAATGGTGACAATGAAAACCCAGCAAATTCACTAGTCTATGACATTCATGTTTTGAGAAACAGATTTAGTGATCACAAAAGTCATAAGCAATAGCTTCTAAACTTAAGCTAAGCAGAATCAAACAAACAGAACCTCCAACGATTTTGAGGTACACTAAGTGGGACCCACTGAGGTTCAGAAGGCCCAAATGAGACGTGCCTCTCTTCACAGAGCCAGACGGCTGCATCGGGCTTTCACACATCAAGACTTCATGGAGAAAAAACTGGACACAAGCTACTCTCTGCCCCCACTCAACAGAGTACCTTGCTTCAAACCCTGAAAAGTCCTGAAGAAAGCAGGCCATTTAAATCCACAAAATGTTAACTCCTGGATGGGATCCTCTCTCTCAAAACCAAGGACTGATCTACAGCCAGGATGCTGGGTTCTCATCCCATTTCTGCTAACCAGACATGTGCCCTTGAGGAAGGCATTTAACATCTCAAAGACTATGCTTCTCTGTCAAATGGGCACAGTTTCCATTGGATCCAAAGATTATTGTGAGGCCAAGATACAGTGACACATGTGAAAGCGCTTTTGGAAAAAGAAAAGCAACATAGTCCCGGCATGGTGGCTCATGCCTACAATCCCAGAACTTTGGGAGGCTGAGGTGGGTGGATCCCCTGAGGTCGGGAGTTCGAGACCAGCTTGACCAACACGGAGAAACCCCATATCTACTAAAAACACAAAATTAGCCAGGCATGGTGGTGCATGCCTGTAATACCAGCTACCTGGGAGGCTGAGGCAGGAGAATCGCTTGAACCCAGGAGGCAGAGATTGCCGTGAGCCAAGATCGATCGCATCATTGGACTCCAGCCTGGGCAACAAGAGTGAAACTCCGTCTCAAAAAAAAAAAAAGAAAAAAAGAAAAGAAAAGCAACATAAATACTAACTTGATTTAGTCTTTCCTTCAGCAAGCATTTTCAAGTTCTGCACAAATGGAGCAGTGCACAGAATCCTTTCTCCATGGCCAAAAGAGAAGGTTCTGTGTGTGTCTCAGTGTGGAGTCTTTGCCACTGCTTGGTGAAATAGGAGTCGCATCCATGCATGGCCCTGATACTTGGAACAACGCTCTCCCTTTACGTAACAGGAGGCACAAAGCTGCCCTGGTATTACGTTAAAGAGAACTCACTCCCCATCCCATGAGTCAGGGCAGGATTTAACTGTTAGCAATGCCCTGGGGAGGTCATTGAGGACCAGCAGGGCCAGGTGGTACAGCCAGTACCTTTTAAAGGTTGTATCCCATATTTAGGCCTACGCATAGGCTGGCAAAGCTGCCCTGAGCTCCCATTCAGTAGAGAAACCGGCTTGGTAAAAATTCCTCTTCAAAACACAAATAAATCATGGCCACTCCCACTCAAACCCAGGATGAAGAATGATTTTTCTTGGGTGAAAAATAATACAAGCCCAAACCACAATGAGATAACACCTTATACCCATTAGGATGTCTACTGACAAAGAAAATAGCAAGCGTTGGCAAGGATGTGGAAAAATGGGAACCCTAGTGCACGGTTGTTTGGAATGTAAAATAGTGCAGCTGCTACAGCAAGCAGTGTGGAAGTTCCTCAAGAGACTGAACATGGAATTGAGGTAGGAGACCAGCAGGACTTGTTTCCAGGACCCGGTCAGAGGAAGTGAAGAAACCAGCCAAAACCAGCAGATGGCAACCAAAGGAATCCCCAGCTGGCCCCATTGCTCATTAGCATAACACATCTCACCAGCCCATGACTCCATGACAGTTCACAAATGCAATGGCAACGTCCCAGAAGTTACCCCCGCTTCTTAGAAAGTTCTAAGTAAACTGCCCCTCAATTTGCATTAACTCACCCCTTAATTTGCATGTAATTGAAAGTGGGTTTGAATGAGTGTAAATACAGTTGCCAATACCCCACACATTGCACTCTGGATGCACTGCCTATGAGTCAGCCCTGCTCTGCAAAGAGCAGTACCATTTGATTAAAGATTGCTGACTAACGTCACTGGCTCATCCTTGAATTCTTTCCTGGGCATAGCCCCAATTTGGGGGCTCGCCTGTCCTGCATCAGAATTATCATATGACCCAGCAATTCCACTTCTGAGTATAGATCCATGAGAACTGAAAGCAAGGATCTCAAGAGCTATTTGTACACGTGTGTTCATAGCAGCTTACTCACAATAGCCAAATGGTGGAAACAAACCAAGTGTCCGCTGACAGCTGAATGGATAAACAAGATGTGGTATATACACACAATAGAATATGATTCAGCCTTAAAAAGAAAGGAAATTCTGATCCCTGCTACAACATGGATGAACCTTGAAGACTTTATGCTCAGTGAAATAAGCCAGACACAAAAAGATAAATACTGTGTCATTCCATTTACAGTAGTCAAATTCATAGAGACAGAAAGTAGAACAGTGGTTGCCAGGGGCTGGGGTCAGGGAATGGGAAGTTGGTCTTTAATGGGTACAGAGTTGGCTGGGCGTGGTGGCTCACTCCTATAATCCCAGCACTCTGGGAGGCCACGGTGGGCAGATCACCCGAGGTCAGGAGTTCTAGACCAGCCTGACCAACATGGAGAAACCCCGTCTCTACTAAAAATACAAAATTGGCCAGGTGTGGTGGCAGGCGCCTGTGATCCCAGCTACTCAGGAAGCTGAGGAGAATCACTTGAACCTGGGAGGCGGAGGTTGCGGTAAGCTGAGATCCTGCCATTGTACTCTGGCCTGGGCAACAAGAGCAAGACTCCGTTTCAAAAAAAAAAAAAATGGGTACAGAGTTGCAGTTTTGTAGGAAGAAAAGAGTTCTGGAGATGGATGGTGCTGACGGGCTGCACGACAATGTGAATGTACTTAGCATCATTGAATTGGACACTTAATGGTTAAAACGGTATTTTATGTTATGTGTCTTTTACTACAATTTTTTTAAGTCATAAAAGCCAATTTCATCTATGTTGCTGTTTGGAACCTTTCTGAGAAGAAAATTGGCTGATCCAAACAATGTTGGGCAGAGAAAAGCGTGGTGTTAACATTACCTGTTGTATGAGCAGGAGGTTTTTCCCTCCTACCTGAGTACAGGGGACTTGTTGGATCTAGGGGAAAGGAGCATCTCCCTACAAGACATCTAAATCAAAGTTGACTTCCAAGAATTAGCTAGTCCTGCTTCACGTGTCTGGCTTACAGGTGAGGGTCAAAACCGCTAGCAAACATGCTTGTCTCAGGTTCATGAATGCAGAAATTCTTGCTGTCTCCCCATTTCTGAGAGAGGGGCCTATTTGTAGCATATGGAATATGAAAGGGTTTTCCCTGCCAGAGGAGATGAAATGTTTGCATAGTCAAATAACTCAGAACACGTGTGAAACTCCAGGCCCTTGGAAAGTCCAAGATTTATGGGACCTGTTCCGTGCTGACCAGGATTCCACGGTTCCTCGTGCACTGCCACCACCCAGGCTACCACGACTGTTGCCCCAGGGATTCCAGAACCTTTGCACTCTGGTCAAAGCTCTCTGCTGCCTATTTTTTTTTTAAACTCTAGTAAATGTTTCTTTGTAAATACAGAGTAACAGAAAATACAGGAAGAATCCTTTAATGAGTCTGAACATTGTGGACAAGCACATTGGTTAAGACAGATAATTATCTCTCTTTCCTAATTTCTTTCCCTCATCACCAAAGGATTTGAGGTTACTACCATGTGGTCAGGACAACTATTTTTATGGACACAAAATCAAAGGATTTTCAAGTATCATAGTTAACCAAAACATCATAAATCACCCCTTCATAGGGTTTTCACTTTGTCAGAAGTTGAAAATTATCTTTATACCTGTATGTAGTAGCTAGGAGCAGAATGTGTTTAAGTGTGATCCTGTTTGGGTAAATCCTTTAAGGAAAATACATATATGCTGGTGTGTGCATTAAAACATCTCAAAGAAATCACAAGAAGCTATTGACTGTGTTTGTTATGCAGATAGAAACTTAAATCGGGGGCATCGAGTATTCTATTTCAGTTATTTTCTGTAGTTTGAATTTGTTACCACATGCTAGTATGTGGTATTCATTCATTCATTCAAGATAAGACCTGGCTATGCTCAGAGGAGTAAGACAGAGCCCTGGCAGAAAACTCCTTACAACCTAGTAGGGGAAACTGATCCACACATTATCAGTTACCATGTGTGTACTGTAATTGGTCAAGAACCTAGGTTCAAATCCTGACTTGGCCATTTCTTAGCCATGTGATCTTGGACAAGCTATACCTTTCTGTACCTCAATTTTCACCTGTAAAATGAGGATAGTAGTTCCTATCTGACAGAGTTTTTATGAATATAAAATGAATGAAAATATGTAAAGCAGTTAGGATGTGCTTGGAACATAGTGAGCTCTCAATAATGCCTGATGTTACTATAGTAAAGATAAGAGACAGGCATTACACCAATAGAAGAAGGATTTCTTCAGTCTGGGCCCTGGGGTATCAAGGCTCTAAAGTGGAGATGCTGCTTGAGCTAGGCCTTAATGGAGAAGTGGTGTTCTGCCAGGTAAGAGGAGGGAAAGGGCATTCCAAGAGAAGGGGACAGTATGAGCAGAAACAGGTTGGTATGACTGCCTGGTTAGCAGCCACTGCAGGCAAGGTGAACTCCTGAACTTTCCTTCCAGGAACGTCTTGAGGAAATGAGAAAGAAAGAGCAGCTTTGTTCGTTTTGAAAGTCCAGTACGTAATTTGTGTAAAGTCTGACCCTTCCTATGCCATTTCAGACTCACTTGTTAAATTTCCTTTTTACGGTCTTCTTGGTAGAAGTTCACACCTGATCAAACATCTGTAAATGAGCTAGTATAAAAAATGAAAATCTGAAATATAAAGCAGGTCCCTAAGCAGACCTCCAGAGCAGACATGCAGAATGCAGCAGGCCTCACACCTCTCGAAATCCAATTGACACCTGCTTCTGGGGCCAGGGAACGTACAATATGGCTGTTGGGCGTTGGGAGATCCAGTTCAGCACCCCCTAAGTGGGGCTGGTCCTGAAGGTCACATTTCCCTGGCTCTCCCGAGATTTGGGATTAGACTGTAATCTTGGGCTTCTCAACCTAAGGTCACACTGAATAAACACCTATATGTTTGAGATAGTGCACTAAGACGCCCTCATCCAATCCTCAGCAGAAGCTTGTGGGTAGACATTATTTTTTCCCTTTTATAGGAGAAAAACTGGGCCTCTGAGAAGTCCAGAAATTTGCCTGAGTTCCTGATAATAGTTCAGGATTTAGATCCATGTCTTCTGACTCCACATTCAGTGCTCTTTTCACTGCTACATGCTGTCTCCTCTGAGAAGTGCTTTAAACTCAGCATTCCAGGATGTCGGCTTCATAGAATCATTGTGTGAGAGATATAAGAAATCCTAGACATCGGCCGGGTGCAGTGGCTCATGCCTGTAATCCCAGCACTTTGGGCGGCCGAGGCAGGCGGATCACCTGAGGTTGGGAGTTCGAGATCAGCCTGACCAACATGGAGAAACCCCGTCTCTACCAAAAATACAAAATTAGCTGGGAGTGGTGGCGCATGCCTGTAATTCCAGCTACTACGGAGGCTGAGGCAGGAGAATCATTTGAACCTGGGAGGTGGAGATTGCAGTGAGCCGAGATCACACCATTGCACTCCAGTCTGGTCAACAGAGTGAAACTCTGTCTCAAAAAAAAAAAAAAAAAAAAAAGAAAAAGAGAAAGAAAAGAAAATCCTAGACATCTAGTGCTGCGGTCTCCAAACCTACACCAAGAATCCCCACCATGCTCATGATTCCAGATGTACTTCCAACATTGTCTACAGACTGAGTGAGTCATAGATTGCTAGTAGCCTAGCCAATATCCTTCTCCCTTCTTCTATTCTAACAGATACCTGGATAATGTGCTCTCCAAAAAAACTACATCCTTTAGCCTCTTTTGAAGAAGGGGTAGCCATTGGTAAATAAGCATAAAAATTATAAAAACCTTTCAAGGAAAACTCTTTGCCCTTCCATCATCCTTCCTTCTTCAAGCTGCAGGAAAAGCAGATATGGTAGGAGCTCCAGCAGCCACTTTGGGACCATGAAGAAAAGGTCAGAGAATTTCAGAGACATTGGCTATAAACCAACACCTCTGGACTTCTTTATTGTGAGGGCCGATATCTTTATGTATAATATTTAATCCACCAGGCATAGAGCTCTGTTTCTAGAAGCTGCATACAATTTCTAACTAAATATTAGCACTACTGAATGTATTACCATTGTTCAGATGTTTGTTTATACTGGTGTGGTTAGTAAGAATCAAATTTATTCAAAAGAACAACTGAATAAAAATAGCTACTAGTCATGTAATTTCTCAACAGGAAATAACAGAAGTATGGCTGCTATGATAAGGAAGTCTGTGAATGTTTTTCTTTTACATTAAGAACGCCTTTAGATATGGCTAGAAGTCACGAGTCTCCTTTGATCCATAAAGTAACTTTCTAAGGCCAGTTATCTGGACTCACGATGTGGTCCTCTTTCCACCATCCCACTGACATTACTTTGGACTGTTCTTGCAGACAGACCATATTAGCAAGGAATGAGGGAAAACGGGGCGCTCATTTTGAACAAAAGTCCTAGGGCTTCTTAGGGAAAGCTAGAACTCTCTACAAAAGGCTCTTCAAAGGGCAGGACATGCAGCTAAATCTTGGGTTACATTCCTGGATCACATCCACCCACATACACGAAAAAACACTCCCGTCAGCTTCACTCATAAAGACCAGTACATTGAATTTTTATCAGTGAGAAAGGTGGGGAGGGGAGGAGGACCAGACCAATGGTATTAAAAAGAAACAAACCAGCAGCATTTCTGTAAACTGGAAGGGTAAGGCATAATCCCCCCAACACATGCACACAAACATCTCATGTTTTATAATAGTTCTTGAAAGAGTCAAAAGAGGGCCACCCTTCCACAGGTAAAATTACGAGTTTGAAAGCAACTAAATACAGTAACTTCCTACCCAGCTACAGAAGGGTCTGTGCCAAATAATTTACTATTAACTGTCTGTGAAAATGTGTGGCATTTTATAGCCCTTGAAGTTTGTGCCTCTGTTTGGTGATTTATTAATTATAAATGGCATGATATATCTCACAGTTTGTCTTTCTGTTATTTTCATTAGCGTAAACCCTCAACAAATTCAAGTTCAGGTAGATTACAAGTCCATTAAAAAAAAAGTATGAAATTTATTTAAAAAGAAGCACAAATTGTATTCCAGGCCTGTAAATTCAGTAACACAAATTAATAGCTAACAAAGTGAGGCTCAAGTGTGTGCCATATCAGAATTCACATCAACAAGCAGCATTTGTCATCAGAAAAATTAGTCTGGGCTGGATGTGGTGGCTCACACCTGTAATCCCAACACTTTGGGAGGCTGAGGCGGGTGGATCACCTGAGGTCAGGAGTTCGAGACCAGCCTGGTGAACATGGCAAAACCCCGTCTCTACTAAAAATACAAAAATCAGTCCTATTCCCAGAGATTATAATTTAATTTACCTGGTCCTTAGAATTTTTAAAGATTTCCCAGGTGATTCTAATACACAGACAAGTTTAGGGACCACTGTCCTAACATTTTTTTTAAAAAAGCAGAGACTAGGCTGGGCGCGGTGGCTCACGCCTATAATCCCAGCACTTTGGGAGGCTGAGGCGGGTAGATCACGAGGTCAGGAGATCGAGACCATCCTGGCCAACATGGTGAAACCCCATCTCTACTAAAAATACAAAAAATTAGCCGGGCGTGATGGCTGGCACCTGTAGTCCCAGCTACTCGGGAGGCTGAGGCAGGAGAATTGCTTGAACCCGGGAGGCAGAGGTTGCAGTGAGCCGAGATCGCGCCACTACACTCCAGCCTGGAGACACAGCAAGATTCCATCTAAAAACAAAAAAAAAAAAGCAGAGACTAAAACTAATGAAACAAAGCAAGTTGGAGACAACAGAGATTATGCAGGGAAATGAGAACTTTAAAAATTACTCATTGATATTAGGCTAGTGCAAAGGAAATTGCAGTTTTTGCCATTAAAAGTCATGCAAAAACTGCAGTTACCTTTGCACCAACCTAATATCTTCAGGGAAATAAGAAAATGTATTAAATCTATGTCACAAGAATAGGATTCGTGTAAAAGAAACATTCAGAGAATAAAAAGAAATTATTGGAAATTAAGACTATGATAGTAGATAAGAAAATTTAAAGAAAGTTTCCACAATAGAGTAAAGAAGTCTCCCTGAAAGCAGAGCCACTAGATATAGAAAAGAAAAATAAAAGCAAAAAGACAGGAAACGTAAAGGACTAGACTAAGAGATCTAACATCCAAATATTAATAATAGGAGTTCCAGAACAAGAATAAGAGAATGTGGGCTGGGCGTGGTGGCTCACACCTATAATCTCAGCACTTTGGGAGGTTGAGGTGGGTGGATCACGAGGTCAGGAGTTGGAGACCAGCCTGACCAACATGGTGAAACCCTGTCTCTACTAAAAATACAAAAATTAGCCGGGCGTGGTGGCACCTGCCTGTAGTCCCAGCTACTCGGGAGGCCAAGGCAGGAGAATCGCTTGAACTTGGGGGGCAGAGGTTGCAGTGAGCCAAGATCACACCACCGCACTCCAGCCTGGGTGACAGAGCAAGACTCTGTCTCAAAAATAAATAAATACATAAATAAATAAACAATAAGAGAACATGAAACTATCCAAGAAAGGTTCCTAGACTGAAGGATGTGAGCACCCAGCAAATGTCCAGCACAATGAATGAAACACTCATACAAAGCCTACCACTGTGAAATTTCAGAAAATCCAGATGTTATGAAAATGCATTCTGGGTACGTGACCTCAAAGTGAGTTGCAGGACACAGTGACTGGGGGACCAAGATAACTGCTGCTGCCAGGAATAACTGCCCCTGCTTTAGGAGTGTTGACCAGATTGTAGGGGATCCAATTTCTTTCAGTAGAAAGTAAATAGATTAAGAAAGCAACTGGATGGTTTAACACACCGTCTATGACTTTTATTTTCTTTCCCTTTTCTTTTTGTGTTATAAAAGGTTAGAGAGGCATGCATCGCAAGCTCAGAGATCTACCCCTTCTTCCTGCTACCCAAGACTGCCTCATATGTAAGTTCCTCCTGAATAAACCTTTGACTACCTACCAACCTAAAGTGGTTTTGCCTCTTTCTTCAGTCTGAACTTCCCTCCACTTACGGACAGTGGTTCTTGGTTCTGGCAGAAACTTTTCCCAATACAAGGACAAATAGAAGGTTTCCCAAGTTGCTAGAGAGAGAAAATATAGGCCACACACAAAAGATCAGGATTCTGAACTTGTTTGGACTTCTCAACAGCTGCATGAAAGCTAGAAGACAATAGAAAACAAAGTCAAACTATCAATGTGTACATATAAAATTAAGACACTTTCAGAAATGTAAGGTCTCAAAAATATACAATCCTCCATCATTCTCAGAAAACTACTGGAAGATGTATGACATCTAAACAGGGAGTAAAATAAGAAAGGAACGCAAAAGATATCTAACAGAGGTGATGCAACATAAAGAGACAGGGTCTTTCCAGACTGTTGGAGAGTTGAAATCCTCAGATACCAGCTGTGCTTCAGACTTAGACGGCAACTACTGTGGAACAGAATAAAGCCCAGATTGGTTAGAAGTCTCTTGGAGAAATTTCTTCAAGAAGATAAAATTGATAGAATATTTAATAAATCTGAAGGCATGTAGAAAGGATTTTGACAATTAGTATACAGTGTGGTTTAGAGTATGAGATGCGTCTTTCAAAAATAAGCAAGTTTTTAAAAATCAAGGCAACCAATAACTCCAGGGAAAAGAAAAAGCTGAGCAAGAAATAAAAATTTATAGTAGTGCTTTACATAGCTTTCAGCCATGAATAATAACATTTTCAAAATCACAATCATTGAAGCACTTTTTATTTAACCAAAAATTATAATATAACTATGTTGAGAGAATGAGAGCAGGAAGTAGGACATAAAAGGAGTGTGTGTGTGTGTGTGTGTGTGTGTGTGTGTGTGTGTGTGTGTTGGAGGTGGAAAATAGAAGAGACCTAATCCTCATCTTTCTCTCTACAGAAGTCAATTTTCAAAACCCAAATATGAAAAGAAAAACGAACACATGCATATTATTTAGACACATGGAGGTAAATAACAAAAGAATCAGATAAAGGAAATGAAAATGTTTACCTCTGGTGAGGGGGAATGGAGACAGAATGGGTAGGAACTGCTGTGTCTTAGCAAAGGCTTTGTAAAACATTATAACTCTTCAAATTATGTAAATGGATAACGAATATAAAAATACAAAGATTTTTAAGTAAAAATATTTTATACATCCTATATATAATGTTTTAATTATGAATGAATTGCCCCAATTCTTAGCATGACAATTTGAGAACCTATTGTATCACCTTAATATGCATTTTTTCAATAATATACCAGCTTCTCATATTTTTGCTTTTTTAAGTTTTTTTAAAAAGCTGAGTCTGGGCATGGTGGCTCACACCTTCGATCCCAGCACTTTGGGAGGCTGAGGGGGGAGGATTGCATGAGCTCAGGAATTCAAGCCCAGCCTGAGCAACATAGTGAGATCCCATCTCTACAAAAACTCAAAAAAATTAGCTGGGCATGGTAGCGCATGCCTGTAGTCCCAGCTAATCAGGAGGCTGAGGTGCAGTGATCACTTGAGCCTGGGAAGTCAAGGCTGCAGTGAGCTGAGATCACGTCACCGCACTCCAGCCTGGGTGACGGAGTCAGACCCTGTCTCAAAAATAAAGAAAAGAAAAAGTTATGTGAGTGCTGATAATTATTAAGATAATTCAGTAAGGTTCTAACTGAAAACTTTCTGTTCTCCATATTTGTGAAACATGGGGAAGAGTTTATTTTAAAGCTCTAATTTGAAACAAATTTGCTGAAGCAATTGAGCATTCAAATATTGGGGAATAAAACAGATGCAAAGATCTCTCAAAAAAACTGCTGACGTCCCTCACACTGAGTTAGCTTGAGGTTCTCTCGCCCTCGCTGGCACCCCAGGGTCTGCGTTTGCTCTTTCACTTAGAATCAATTTTCCATATTTCCTTTTCACTCATGGCCCCATCAGAGCACCTTGTAAACTTACGGTTTTGGCTTTTTGCATCCTCAATAAGAGCTCAGGTAGAAGTGGTCGGGCTGTGGGTAGCTCTGCCTCCAGTCATCTCTGGCTAAAGAGACACCCTTCATTAGGTTGGCAGCACTTTGGAGCCCCACTATTTCTGGGATCTAAGACAACTTGGTTGTCTTCTACACAGTTATTTTGTCAGTTTCTAATGCCCTTCACAACGGCTTTGGTGATTGATTATTTTATTTTATTTTATTTTATTTTTTATTTTTGAGACAGGGTCTCACTCTGTCACCCAGACTGGAGGGCAGTGGCGTGATCTCGGCTCACGGCAACCTCCGCCTCCCAGGCTCAAGTGATTCTCCTGCCTCAGCCTCCCAAGTAACTGGGATTACAGGTGCGTGCCACTACCACTGGGATAATTTTTGTATTTTTAGTAGAGACGGGGTTTCACCATGTTGGCCAGGCTGGTCTTGAACTCCTGACCTCAAATGATCCACCCACCTCAGCCTCCCAAAGTGCCGTGATTACAGGCATGAGCCACCATGCCTGGCTGATTGATTATTTTAAAGATGACCTTGTTTTCCCTCCCTTACCCAGCATCTGCTACAGATGGGCGATACACATAGAGGACTTTCCAGTGACTGCTTAGTCATTGTCACCAAAAACCCATGTCTCCCAGTGTTCCTGCTCCTGAGGTTCCAAAAAGGAGTTGTCCTGGATAGGGGCACATTAAGAAATCCCAGAGGGTTCAGATCTATAGGAGCTATGAAAGGGTTCCTCCAACTGGATCCGGCCAGGGAGAAATCAATCACTAACGCAGGGGGAAAGGTATGCAGGGACCTTTCGTCACTTGGTGCTGGAGAAAGGAAGTGTGAAGGGTCGGTAAAAGCCAAAAGGGAAATCATGAAGGGAAGGATAAAGCTTTTTACTCCCAAGTTAAAATCACACTACAGAAATCCATCCTTCAGACTTTTATGATCAGTTGCTAAAAAGTCCAAGACATTTGAGCCTACTCCAAAGTGCATTTCTTGCAGGATATTTTGAGGGAATTCATTTTGTAATGATGCGGTGAACACAGAGCCCAGCCCGGTCTGTCTCTGAATATTGTACATAGCACAGCAACACACAAATAGAAAATTAGCGAATGTCTTGATGATTAAGATCATGTGACAGGGAGACCTCGTATTCTATTAATTCAAGAAGCACAATTTTCTAAGTTAAAGCCCATAACACAACTCAAGCATAGTAAAACTATATATAATTAAGAATAGGCTGGGCATTTTGGGAGGCCGAGGTGGACGGATCACCTGAGGTCAGGAGTTTAAGACCAGCCTGGCCAACATGATGAAACTCCGTCTCTACTAAAAATAGAAAAATTAGCTGGGCATGGTGGCACACACCTGTAATTCCAGCTGCTCGAGAGGCTGAGGCAGAAGAATCACTTGAACCTGGGAGGCGGAGGTGGCAGTGAGCCGAGATAGCCCCACTGCACTCCAGCCTGGGCAGCAGAGTGAGACTCTGCCTCAAAAACAAACAAAAATAGAATATGGGGCTAAGCATGGTGGCTCATGCCTATAATCCCAGCACTTTGGGAGGCTAAAGTGAGAGGATTGCTTGAGGCCAGGATTTCAAGACCAACCTGGGCAAGATAGGGAGACTCCATCTCCACAAAAAGAATTAAAACAATTATCCAGGCATGGCATGGTGGTACACACCTACAGTCTGAGCTACTTGGGAGGCCAAGGTAGGAGGATCGCTTGAGCTCAGAAGTTCAAGGCTGCAATGAGCTATGATTGCAATGATTGCACTACTGCACTCCAGCCTGGGTGACACAGTAAGGCCCCATCTCAAGAAAGAAAGGAAGAAAGAGAGGGGGAGAGAGAGAGAGACAGAGAGAGAGAAAAAGAAACAAAGAAAGAAACAAAGAAACAAAGAAAGAAAGAAAGAAAGAAAAAGAAAGAGAAAGAAAGAAAGAAAGAAACAAACAAACAAACAAAGAAGGAAAGAAAGAAAGAAGGAAAGAGAGAGAGAGAAAGAAAGAAAGAAAAATTTTAAAAAGAATATCCTGTAGATAAGTAGAATGTAAAGCTTATCTTTTAACTATCGATAGGCAGAGCACTTCTTGAAATAACCTCATGTGTTCTGGGAGAATATACATCAGAATTCAAAGTACGTCCAAATTTAACATTTTTAAAAATCAAAGAATCCTGCAGTTTGGAGGGACACGTGAGTGCCTCTCACTCAGCCTTCTGTGATATTAATAATATACCTGATAACCGATCATCCAGCCACGAGCTCTCTATTTCATAAGGCGCTCTAGCACGGAACAAGCTCAGTGTTTGGAAGGTCTGTTTTTATATAACAAGGTGAGTAAGATAACCCTGGTCTCTTATCTTTAAGACAGACTTTGAGGGGTTTTCCAAGGAGTAAGCAGTGGCCAACAGCGCTGAGTCGTCCCTTTGTCTGGCTGACTTCTCTCGTTATCAGTTGCAAACATCTCATGGAGTTAAGGCATTAAAAAGACTGAGAAATAATCTACATATCCAGTGTGTTTGGAAAACATATACTGTTATTAAAGTCCAAAGATTACCTTGAGACTCTCTAACAGCAAAATCGCAAAAAAGGAAAATGTTTTGGGTTATAGACCAATGTAATAAAAAGCAGAAAGATGTAGTAGGTGAGAGGAGAGAAGGAGCCCAGGGCCAGCAGAGTCGTAGCCATTTTGCCAGGAAGTAGCTTTAAGGGTTTCTGGACTGTTAGGCGAGTAGCTGGCCTGAAACCAGATCTCAGCGTGCAGGGGCTGCTTCCGTAAATTGCATCCTTTCAGTCACTGAGAAAATTACTCACTCCAACTTAGAGGAGACAAAAACCATGCCCAGAGTTGTTAGGTCATTACCAAATATGAGAAGTCAAAGTGAGAAGCCAGGGAACTCCAAACTAAAGTAGCTCCCACATCCTTAGCTGTGTGCCTACTATACAATTTTTTTTTTTTTTTTTTTTTTTTGAGACAGAGTTTTGCTCTTGTTGCCCAGGCTGGAGTGCAGTGGCGGGATTTCGGCTCACTGCAACCTCTGCCTCCCGGCTTCCAGCAATTCTCCTGCCTCAGCCTCCTGAGTAGCTGGGATTACAGGCGCCCGCCACCATGCCAGGCTAATTTTTTTATTTTTAGTAGAGATGGGGTTTCACCATGTTGGCCAGGCTGGTCTTGAACTCCTGACCTCAGGTGATCCACCACCTCAGCCTCCCAAAGTGCTGGGATTACAGGCGTGAGCCACCGTGCCCGGGCACCTACTATATAATTAACCAAATGATTACCTGGGCTAAAACAAATTTCTGTGTAAATATCTTAAAACTGTATTATTATCTCACAGCGGGAGAGATCAGTTTTGTGACACAAAATACTTTGACATTGTGAACGTGTCAGATTCTGCCATCTGAAAGGTGGCCTTTTTCAGCCCACTGTGTGGCTTCAGAGATGTGGGCAGAACAGGTGGAATCCAACTTAGGGGATTTGCTCTTTCTGGTCTCACTGTCAGTTTTCACAGATCTTAAAGAAGTGGCTGCATTAACTAAGTCAATCAAAGCCTGCTCCCTTTTAAAGCAAAATGAAGCCACTGCTCAGCCTTCAACATAAAAACCTGGATTCCACTACTGTAAGATTCTGCCCACAAGGAAAGAGAAGACCCCGGAAAGCGCTGCAGTGCTGTCAGCCTTAAATGGAAGTTGGGAGAGCTGGAGGAATGCCACGGAAAGAGCTGCCCAGAGCTAGAGGCCGAGGCACTGAAAAACTCTGCCTTCTCCTCTAGAGTCTCAGGAGGGGCCCTGATCCCTGCCCCCATGCACAAGTGAGTGGGAACCCCCCCAAAGACAGCCGCTCTTCATAGAAAATGACAGTCATACTTCAAAATTGTAGAGTGCCTACAAACCGCTCGAGGTTGCATCTGGACAGAAGGATCAGAAGTTTTAATTTCATAGGCCTGGAACAGGGTTCTAAAATAAAAACTAATAAGACGGTTCATATCTCATCATCATCATTATTATTAATAATAGCTATCATTCACGCCTGTAATCCCAGCACTTTGGGAGGCCGAGGTGGGCGGATCACGAGGTCAAGAGATAGAGACCATCCTGGCCAATGTGGTAAAACCCCGTTTCTACTAAAAAGACAAAAATTAGCTGGGTGTGGTGGCGCATGCCTGTAATCCCAACTACTCAGGAGGCTGAGGCAGGAGAATCGCTTGAACCCGGGAGGCAGAGGTTGCAGTGAGCCGAGATCACGCCACTGCGCTCCAGCCTGGGCGACTGAGCAGGACTCCGTCTCAAAAAAAAAAAAAAAAAAAAATGCTATCATTTACTTAGGGCTTACAGTAGCCCTGGTATAGCCCTTATTTAATGCTCACCTCAACCTTGTATGGGCTCCATTTTCCCCCATTCTACACACAATTAAACTGAGGCACGGAAAGGATAAGTAATGAGTACAAGGTCACTGAGGCAGTAGGTAGCAGAGCTGATATCTCTATTTTTAAAAGTGATCCAGGTACCACAGTTTGAAAAACAAAGGTCCCAACAAATGGCATCAGACATTGGGCAGCAAATACTGCTGCAGGACTTTGTATATGTTTCTCCTTATTTGTCTTTAGGTGTTTTTCGTATGTAAGACACAGGCAGTGCAGGGGAACCTTACTGTTTTCTACAGAATGAGAGGGGTCTGAGTCCCCGTCTCTCTGAAGAAACCACTTTTGTGTCTTTTATTTAACTCATCATGTATTGTCTGAAGAGTTTTATTAAAAAAAACAAAACAGTCTGATGATGCCCAGCCCTGGAGAGGTGGGAGCTCCTTTGCCAGGATCTCTGTGTCCCGCAGCCGACCTGCCTTGGCATCCTCATCTCCTGCCACTTCCTGTTTTACCCCATGTGCTTGCTGGTCCCTGAATTCTCTTCCATCTGTCTTTCCTCATCCTCCTGGCCCCAGTGGCTCCCCAGCCATGCCCAGAGAGGTTGGCACTCCAGCTGAGGCTGCAGCTGGGAGGCCCGTGGAGGCCACAGAATGTGTTTTCCTTCTGTCCTTCTGTCCTAGTTATCACAGTGACCAAAATTTCACCAACCTGGAAACCAAGCACATTTACATCTGCTTTGACTTGATCTGTCAAACCAATCTGTCAAGCACCCACCTCCCAATAACAGGGTCCCTGGCATCTCTTTCTTCTTCCATCCACACCCACCCCAAGAAGCTATCTCTGCTGCTGACCTCAGAGGAAAGAGAGCTGAGAATCTCCACGGTGGATGGCAGATCCTGGCTTTCTGTGTCTCTGCCTTCTGTTGCTACCTCCCCATTTTGCTATCATAGGGCTTGGCAATAGAATGGAGTCTTTGCTGGTTGCTATGTGTACACACATGCCATGGTTCAAGGAGATACCCACTCCCTCCTGGCTCACTGTCCACCAACTGTGCTCACGCTTGGGATCCCAAGGTTCCAGCTCTTTAGCTCACACTCCTGCAAAGCCACAGTTATGACACACACTTCATGTGCCAGCCCCACTTACAGGCCATGCCCCTATTATCATGCAAATAAAAATACAGGATATGCAGCAAATTTCAAAGACTCCATTCTATTGCTCAGCTATAGTGCCAACCTCTCTGGGCATGGCTGGGGAGCCACTGGGGCCAGGAGGATGAGGAAAGACAGATGGAAGAGAATTCAGGGACCAGCAAGCACATGGGGTAAAACAGGAAGTGGCAGGAGACGAGGATGCCAAGGCAGGTCGGCTGTGGGACACAGAGATCGTGGCAAAGGAGCTCGCACCTCTCCAGATACGCAACAAATAACTTTGGTTTGTGTACTGATTATTACAAACTTATACTAAACACGATCCACCATTATCTGATATTCCAGTTTCACCAAGGGGCCCTGTATTTTTTCCCTTAGTTCCCCAACCCTAAACCCTGCCTGCCGCAGGGGGCCAGGCTCCCTCAAGGAGTGTTTCTCTTCTGCCTCTCAGGATGCTTTCCAGACTGGACTTTAGTGGATCAGATGTGTTTTAGTGACTTTGAACCTCACTGGGGAGGGGGTGAAGGCCTCATGCTGTTTCTCTCAAGGAGGCATTTTTCAGCATTTACCCACCAAGACCATTGGGAGAGAAGTTTCTGACAACCTACAAAGAACCCTGTTAGGACCTATATGAAGGCAGTGGCTTCTGTGATCTTTTTTCATTTATATAAGCAAGAAGGGTGGCTGGAGCAATCCCTCCCAGCTGGGCCACTGGGCCGAAAGCAACTTCTTCCCTCCATCCAGACAGAAACACAGTTGGCGGTCTTCAAACGCTGGATTTTCTCCCTAAAGCACATCGCCTTACTGAAAAACTCACTATACTTCCTTTAAAACTTCATGATCTGGGGTCTTTCAGATAAAATGTCAGTGGTTCGACAATAATGAATGGACAGGTAGCTAAGAACAGCGTGCTGGGGAAGCGTTCCGCAGGCCATCTGCCTGCAGCATGTAGTTCACACCCTCCATGGAGCTGCCCTTTGGGGAGGTGAGGGGCTGAAAGCAAGCGTGTGCTCCCTTGGCCAAACCCAAGGAGGGGAAGCGCTGTCAGCTGGCCAAGATGTGAGCCAACAGGGCACGTAGAAGGATATCCCTCCCAATCTACTGCCCCCAAGGGAGCCCCTCTTTTAATTTTGTGCCTGCTGGCTTGGAGTGATACATTATTCTTGGAGAATTGTCCAGCATAGCGGGAGGAAGGATGCAGAAACAGGGGCAAGTGGTTGAACCTGAAAATTCCCAGTTTTCCTTCATTGCAGCATTGAATGAGGGGCTGTAAGTAGCCACAAGAGCAGGTCCCCGTGTGGTTAAAGGCCCTGGCATTCACTTAACAGGCGAATTTCCAGGCAACATTCTCTTACTCAGCACTTTTAATCAAAATAATCAGTCCAGTGTCTGAGGAGGAATGAATAGGGCAGTGTAGGAATCCCCTGTTGCTAATGAAACATTTAAAAATCCAGGACAGTAATGGCCTGTGCTATTTAATACAGAGGAGATGCTTACCACAGCCCCCTCATACCCTGTTTTTTTTTCTTATTTGCAAAAGGAAAAAAAATAGAATTTATTCATCTTAAAAAAATACGAAGTGAAAAATTATCCATTAGCACAGCAAAGACCTATTTCCAGGAAACGAGTTTTAAAAAGAAAATTCTTGACATCCTAAGGTTGAAAGCGGGAGGTGTCATGACTTTGAACGTGAAGGATGAAAGGGCCACTGTGTCCAGGTGCAGTTCAGCCTGGCCTCATTTCATCTGTTACGGGAGGCTGCTTAAACCCCTGGTTGTGGTCCAAAAATATCCTGGCAGTTAGCATCCTGCATTAAAATTTATAAACCACGAAAGACCTTTTCTTACAGAAAAGCTAATTCAGGCTGGATAGCCTTTTTAAAAAAAAGATTTAAAAGGGGTAGTCATCAGAAGAGGTTATATGGAAAACTAGAGGTAAGTAATGCTTTTCAGTCCCCCAAAACATACTAAAAATACAGCAACAGTAATTTCAGAAGGAAGGGAAATGGTACCAAGCATAATTTCGTTTCTAAGAAGTCCCAGGAATGAATCCTGGAACTGCTAGAATGAACTTTTAGGGGTGACAAAAAAAATGGTTGGAATATTATCAGGAAATGGGAACTGACAAGAGGATGGAAACAGGCTGCACCTTGGTGTCTCGGCTCTGGGGCTGGATAAGGGGCCCCAGTTTCTCTGGACTCTAGGTAGGCAGGTCTGAAACCTGGTCACTGAGCCATGGCTGCTGGAGGTGCTTCTCCCTCTGCCTGGCCGCATTCCTTCACCCCATGCTGAGCCTTTGCTGAGCGCCTCCTATGTGCCCTGGCTTTAGTCCCTGCTATCCTTCAGGTGCAGATGAAACTTCACCTGCTCAGAGATACCTTCCTTAATCCCTACAGATTAGATAAAATTCCCCTGCTCTGGACTCCTATGGCACCTGCTCTGGTCTTAACCCTGAGCACACTTTTCCACTGCTGAATTCTCTCTAAGGTTGGTGGGGGAGGGGACTGTTTCTTTCATTAATCATTGTATTCAACCTCCCTTACTCATCCAGCCCACACCCACCCGTTGGGTGCTTAATGAATACTGGTAAAATGAATCAATGCTATTTTCTGTGAGTCCAGTTTTATATGCGTAGGTTATCTTTTATTATAAAAGGACCTGGAGATTTGGCTCCAAAGTTGACATTTTAAGGAGACTGGTGAGGAAGAGCAAGTGGCAGCAAGTAGGTGACCATGGCATCATTCTTTGAGTAGTGGGGAGGCCATCCACAGGCAGTCAGTCTGACCATCTCCAGGGAGCAGAGAGTGCACTCCATTTCTGCACAAACTTAAGTGAGAGGGAGGAAGCCTAAACAGACCTGGAAATTGACCTGGACCAGCCTGCTCATACACCTGCAAAATGCACCTGGAGGATCATAGCCTCTAAGACGTATGCTGGCCTTTGGCCAGCCTTGTTTTCTTCCTGATTCACGTAATCAGACATGCCAGCTTCCACGAAATGATAAGCTTCTGGAGTGATGGTAACAATACCATTAATAATGATTTTAGCTACCTTTTAGTGAGTGCTAACCTTGAGCCAGGCACAGTCCAAGCCTTTTATGCACAGTATATATTTACCTGCACAGCAGCCCAGATGAGAACAATGGCGCTAACCCCATATTTCAAATACCCACTCAGCAAGCTGCAGAGATTTACATAGGTCCAACAGCTCATCGTGATGGGCACTGGAAACCCCATTTCTTTGGCCTCTTCTATAGATCCTAGTGGATACCTGAGCACTCAGGAAGCACTCAGTAAATCCTCTCAACTTAGCCAGAGCAGGGTAGAACAAGTCCTTGTATTTCTGTTTACAGAAGCTTCCACCTGGGTCTACACATACAGCCACAGAGTCAGCCTGAGTGGATCCTGGGCTGACAGAGTTTATCGGCCAGCTCTGCAGTGGCCCTAGGAACATCACACTGTGCCTATCATGCCAAGTGACCCCCGAGACCCACTGGAGCTGAGAGAGCCTGAGGAGGGTGTCAGACCAACATCCTGGGTGGTTGCTGTAGTTTCCTCTGATGCCTTAAAACTGAAAATCTAGAGGGTTTGCAGGAACGACCAAAGGGACTGCACTGTGCTTTGTTTCTGCTGGGAGTGACCCTACATCACAGAGAGTTTGGGCTTCACTCCACCTAGCCCTGGCTGTTCCTTCCAAACATTCTTTCACTCACAACCTTCCTTGACCCTCTGTCCCCATCTGCTCCCTTGATCTATTTGTGGACGTGCTTAGAGCTAAATAACACTGGAGTTGGATTTCATTCAATTTCTCAAGTCGATTCAAGGAAGGTTGACTTTATTATAACTATTCAGGCAGAGAATGGCCCTTCTATCTGCTTTCACACAGAACAAAAATGGTCTCAGCTCTTCTTTAAACTGTCAAATTATATCCTTCTTCTTTTTGAATTATTTATAATCTGTTGTTTTTACCCTGCAAAAATGGGCTTTTGCTACTTCAACCACATATTAGGCCTTTTATGCAAACTGTAAAAGAAGCCAGCCTT
The DNA here is from genome assembly GCF_000001405.40 of Homo sapiens. Lineage (NCBI taxonomy): Eukaryota > Metazoa > Chordata > Mammalia > Primates > Hominidae > Homo > Homo sapiens. The sequence goes on from NC_000006.12 coordinate 2,733,215, forward strand.
CTGTCAGAGAAAGGCTTCTGACTTCACTAGGTATAAGAGAACCAAATTTTTATCCCCATAAAATTTTTCCCATTTCAGTCATAGCACAGCTGATGCAAAGGCAGAAGAGTTATGGTGGAAATGGAAATACATGTGTAAAAACTACAGTCCCTACAGTTTTCTGTGAATTCATAATCCCCAGAGACCAGCAGACCTCAGAAACCAACCAAGCAATGGGAGGAGCTAGAAACTCAATGGTATCAGCCAAAATGAGCATGGAGTGTTCACTCAGAATGAGGAACCACCGAGGAGGTGTGCGTCATCAGCCTCACTCACAGAGAAGGAAGCCTACGTGGTCACAAGACTGAGCTGTAAGAGGGAGGGGCAATGCGTAGTCAGCCCAGATAGAGCTCAAATGTTTTAAAATTTAATACGTTTTTTATTATAAGGTCTAACCAATCCCTAGCAATGACACAATATCACTCTCTCAGCTCTCAGTTGGCACCTCCTGGTAGGGTGAGTTTAGAAGGATGAAGGAGGAAAGTGAGAGGATAGCAATCAAGTGGATTCCCTTCAACAGCACGAACCACACTTCTCATGAGACCCCTGGAGGGTTATCCAAAGCACAGATTCCCAAGCTTCGCCCGCGGAGACGCTGCTTTGGTGGCACTAGGGGAACCTCGCAATCTGGATGCTAACCTAGTACCCCAGGTGATTCTTATCTACAGTGGTTCTCATCCCCGATACATAAATAATAAATGTCAGCGCATCCCAAAACTTGCTCAAAGTCAAGGTCACTTATCTAACGTGAGTGCCAAAGCCCAAACGGACCACAGACTCCAGACACTAGTGACCTTTCCATTCAACCCTGGGAACGTATGAGCCAAAAAACATGCTAAAACCAGCGACAGTAGAATGCAATGGTATTCAGCTGCTCCATGCCACACGTACTCATGTCTGCAAACCCTTGCTAGCGGGCACCTGCCAGAAGCAACTCTGTTACAGGATGGAATCTCACAGGTTGTTCCCCTACCCAGCACATATGCGGCTTTCGCTAAACCATCTGCTGCTTTGCTGACAAGGACAGACCAAGGAATTTCCATGCTGCGGTCTGTCAGCGTCTGTCACAGGGCCACCACCCTTTGATTGGGCGAGGAACTTGGAACTGAGACCTGTCCTCCAGGAGACCAATGTGACCCTCCCAGGGCAGAGGGAGTGCTGCCACTTCACACGTCCTCTCACCCGGGCTTATCTAACTGGCCACAGGACAAGTTCTGTGTTTTGTCGGCCTGGGAAATCTAATGGAAAGGACTATTATTAGAAATATTTATCTTATCAAGGAAAATATGCTCTTAAAATGTTCAAGAAAGGATGCTGCCTGGTTCCCAAGGAATAGCCTGAAAGACTATATATATATATAATATACACTCATACACATATACATATTATACACACACATACACATACATGTATATATGTGTGTGTATTTAAATGTAATATGCATATGAATATTACTTAGGTAAGCATATATTCACAACTGCAGTAGTATGTTACCTTTATTTTTCTTTCAGCAGTTTTTTGAAGTAAACTTCATCATCTGACTGCAGGGGTTAATGAATATTCTAGTGCTTCTCACACTCTGATGTGCACATACATGAGTCATTCAGGAACCCTGATGATATGCAGATTCCTATTCAGCAGGTTGGATGGGGCCCGAGAGCCTGCATTTGTAGCCAGCTCCCAGGGAATGCTTGAGGCCCAGGCAGGAGCCACTCTGAGCAATCAGATTCCAGCTTGTGATGATGTTTGCATCACACATAAAACAGCACCTGTCAAAGCTTAGAATATGTAAAACAAACAAAACTAAGTTCAAATTAAGGCACTCTTTCTTAGATGATTCAGAAGGAACTTCAGAATTTGGGCAATGCCTCTTAGCCATCATTACAAACAATTCTTCCCGTATTAGAGCCATTTCAGTAATAACAGACAAGTCCTGACATACAAGAATCAGGTTGCCTTCTTCTTCATAAAGGGACAGAAAGCACCCAGAACTACAGGTATTTTTCTCTCATTTTTGATACTCTGATCTGAAGGTAAATGAAGAAAGCCAGGGCATGTCAGGCCACTTTGACTGCTTAAAATTGATTCTGCCAGTCTAGAAATGATTAAAATTCCAATCTTGGAAGCTCTTGGGAAAAATATACAAACGCTATATTATTCCAAATATTCTGCTATATGAAGGCTGGCCCTATTCATCACATTGTTTAAATATTTGAAATAAGTACATTAATCATTATCCTCACTTCTAAGACATCAAAGACAAAATTATGCCTAAAATGTATTGGTAATAACTAGTACACAATTGAGAATGGACATGTCTCATGTGAAGGATACAAAGAAATACAGAGAATGATCCCCATGGGGACGGAGCTGCAGCTTTTCAGGAATGGAGGTCCAAACCCATGACATAGTATTTATCACACAGGGCCCCAAAACTATGCACACACCTGGCTCAGCGTATGTAGTCGATGCAAACTGGGGAGGTAAAATTAGAATCAACTGTGGTGGGATTTAAATCTGGCCTTGAAGGATTTCAAAAGGCATAGAAGAGGAGAGAGAATGAGAGCAGGTTTGGGGAGAAACAATGAAGCGGAACAGAAATTAAGGTTTTGGATCATGTCTCTAACAGACAAATTGCTAATTTAATCCTCCCAATAATCCTGCAAGGTTGGCATTATTACACCAATTTGGTGAACCAAGAACTGAAACTCAGAAAAGCTAAATGACTGAGGTCACACAGCCGGTAGGTGGTCTCCAAGGGGATTTGAATTTGGGCCTGTTTGATATCAAAGTCCATCATCAGTCCACCCTAAACCAGCACGCCCCAAAGCACATCTCATAGCTCCCTAAAATGTTAATAATGAGTCAGGAAAAAGAAAAGGTCAGAAGTCAAATAAATTTTGAAAGCTCTCAGGATAAATAATAATACTGTTACAGATATAAGTTAACATTTATTACATGCTTCCCGTGTGCTTGCTTTAAAATATTTGTTATTATTGCTGTTGCTGTTGTTGTTTTTGAGATGGAGTCTCGCTCTGTCACCCAGGCTGCAGCGCAATGGCGCGATCTCGGCTCACTGCAACCTCCGCCTCCCAGGTTCAAGCAAATCACCTGCCTCGGCCTCCCAAGTAGCTGGGACTACAGGCACCTGCCACCACACCCAGCTAATTTTTTAACAGAAACCTCTCAGGGCCTTTAACACTCTAACCTGCATTGAAAATCTCTAATATTATGTGTTGGAATAATATTAAAAATCTCACATAAGAGAATATTGATCATGCAAAAACATAATACTGAAATAGATAATGGGAAGTAGACTCTGATGGGTTTCAATGATAAGTCATTATGTTATGGTGAACTAGCTTCAGAGCTAGACTGTATGCCTGGTGGCTTTCCATTCTTCCTGACATCCCCAGCTAATTTCATTTAAAAATACACTCTAACAGACTGTGGCAATTCTCAGGGGAAAAGGACAGAAACTGGAAGGTGGAAACACAGCTTCTGCTGTGGTATCTAACAGCTAGGTAAGTCAGGTCTGGTGGTTTGGCATTTGACATATTAAGACACAAAGGTTCTGGACAAGACACCAAAGGAATCTCTCCTGCCCCTTTTGTTAGTAACTGCTGTAATTTCCTAATTTATAAATCTTTGTACACTGTCTGCATCAGGTGTAAAGTAGCCATCCATCACCTGGCTCTCATGACATACTGAGTTGCGTTCCTCCAATAAAATAGTCTCTGCCTTCTCTCATGTTCTACGAAGCCTATGTTGCTAAGTTCTTATGCACATCAAATAATACACCTGTAATCCCAGCACTTTGGGAGGCCGAGGTGGGCAGATCACGAGGTCAAGAGATCGAGACCATCCTGGCCAACATGGTGAAACCCCATCTCTACCAGAAATACAAAAACTAGCTGCGCGTGGTGGCGCCCGCCTGTAGTCCCAGCTACTCGGGAGGCAAAGGCAGGAGAATCGCTTGAACCCGGGAGGCGGAGGTTGCAGTGAGCCGAGATCGTGCCACCGCACTCCAGCCTGGCGACAGAGCGAGACGCCATCTCAGAAAATAACAAAAAATAACAATAAAACGATCCTACCATTATGCCTTGCTTAATGCTTTTGATTTTCCAAGGCATTTTCACACCTGTGACCTTGGTAGTACATGGGCATCTTATTCTTGCTGGACTGGATGAAGTTCCATTCTCCTTCTTCAGTCTCTGATGGTAACTCATCTGTTCACATCCTTAGAGGACAGTTGGGGTGGGGAGGAACGAACACATTCTGCAGTCATACCAGTAGGAATGAAAAGGAGAGATGTAAGATACATTTCAAGAAATCATGTGCAGAATTTGGTATCTGACAGAATATGACAGGGAGGGAGGGGGAGTCCATAGCTCCAGGCAATGTGGCATCAAGATGCTAGGATCCCAGGCCAGTGCCTGAGAAACCTGACAGCATCACCCACAGAAAGAAATTAAGTGTGGAAAGACATGAAAGAAGAAAATGTCCTTCAGGAAACTAGATCTGTAGGACTCTGAGCAGGAAAGATATTGGGTCACAGACAATATGCCCTATAAATTACTAGAATGGTAGATGGTGTAAAGTTTAGCTACATTAGTAGTAAGAGTGTATTGTTTTGTTCATGTAGCTTTTTTTTTTTTCTCTAAGCCAAGCAGTGTGTTAACTGCTTTATACAACAACTCTGCTGGGGGTGGGGTGCCGGGGGCGGGTGGGGGGGGGGTGGTCAATGTTATTAACCCCAGATGAGGAAATACTTGAGAGAGGCTAAATAATATCCTTGATGTCATAGAAGTAGCAAGAGGCAGAAACGAAATTCCAGCTGGTGGTCTTATGTGAAACTAGATTGCACAGTAAGAATGTGTCACATTATAACTTCTCATTATTAGGCAAAACATGTGAGTAGGCAACCCTGCAAAACTAGCAAGTGGGTGACACTATAAAAAGCTAAACAGGATAAATTTTGGATTACCCACCTTCCTGATCTATCTTTAGTGAAATGTCAGTTCCACTCTGTAGTCAAGACTTATGACTAACAGAGTACTGAGCATAGGAAACATCTTAATACATTGTTTAATGAAACAAAGTATTTTAGAGCATGCTGGCAAACTGCATTTAGTTTATAATCTTCCAGCCTTATTCTATATGCATGAGGGAATCATTAGTTCCAGTGTAGTCTTTCCTAGCAGCTTCTGTGTCTACGAACAGAGAGCTGAGAGTGGCCTGACATTCGTTCCAACAATTAGGATTAGCTTAAAATGCTGGGACTTCACTGCATTGCCGCAGTAACTTTTGCAGCTTTTCCCCACTGGAGGTCACTGTCACCTTGCAGTTGCAGAGAAGAACCTCAATTTGTGGTGGTAAAGAAAGTGGACGTTTTCATCTATCTAGGCTGGCTGTAGTTGCTTAAAGAAATCAACCAACCAACCAAAGCAACAATCATTAAAACATACTTCAGATCATGTGGCAAAAAACTGTCCTTAGAAAATTCATCACTGATAGCGCTTGTTTTCAAATAATGTTTCATCTTGACACTTTTTAATTTTTAGGTTACTATAACAGTAGATACATGTTATTATATATTTGTCCAAACCCACAGAATGTGCAGCAACAAGAGTGAACCCTAATGTGAACCATGGACTCTGAGTGATAATGATATGTTAATGTAAGTTTATCCATTGTAAAATATGTCCCACTCTATTGGGATTGTTAATAGTTGATAAATATTTTGAATTCAGTTAAAATTTCTACAAAGAGACCCAAGCACCTGTTTCATATGTTGGGCAAGCGAATGCATTCAAAGATCAGATGGTATATAGCTTCATAACTTTGAGCCAATTCCTGACCTCACTAAGCCTCAGTTTGCTCACCTAAAAGGTAGAGATAAGAATTCTACCAACTTCGGCCAGGCACAGTGGCTCACACCTGGAATCCCAACACTTTGGGAGGCCAAGGCAGGCAGATCACTACTGGAGAGCCTGACCAGAACCAACACAGTGTCTTTTGTGCAGTGGTGGCTCAGTAATGATTTGCTGAGTAAATTAATACAGAATCTAGGCATAAATATTTAAAGGAAAGCTGAGACACTAAGGAATCTTGGGTGAGTCCATCTGACTTTTCCCGGACTTTCAGTTTCTCTTCAGAGAAGGGTTTGAATGAGCTGACCCCCGAAGTTCCTACGCATTAAGGTCCCTAATCTTTGAGTTACAACCTGTGGGTCAGAGCACAGCCTTCAGTGTCCCATTCACTATGGAAACGCCATGACAACCTGTGTGCATCTGAAACCCCAAGTGGAGGCAGCCATGAGTCATGGATTATGTTTATACTGGTATCCAATTGAGCACATAGCATACTATCACCCTCAATGGACTGGCAAATCAGATACTTTTCCCCATTAAAAATGGCAAATGAGGTTTTAAAAAATCATTACAATTAATACAAAATGCCAGGAGGCACTGTACAGGTTGTATCTCCATATTTAAGAAGACCTAGGGCCTAAATATACTTAAGCACATAAGAGAAATGTACTGATAGCAGTACTAACATACAGCATTTTACATTTTACAAAGAACTTTCACACATGCATGGTACTTTATTTGGCCCTAAGAGCAACCCTGTGCAGTAGAGGGGGCTGCAGAAACTGACCTGCATATACTGTTGTGTAAAGAACTTAAAGAACTCCACTGGGAGGGCAGGGCCAGGACTGGAAGCTGCATCTCCTGACCCCAGTGATTCAGCTTGAACAGGATGTTTAACTGTGAAGCACGAAGTTGGGTATAGCAGGACAATCCTTCATGGTGGCATAGAGTGCAAGCTAGGTGCCCACCATGGGGTTCAAAGCCCAGCTCTTTTGCATGTGGGTTTTGGGCAGGTCAGTGAGCCTTCCTGGGTCTCCACTGTAAAGTGGAGGAAATAGTACCTACCTCATGGCTGACAGTGAGACTTTAAAGGCATCAGAATAGGTGCACCTCTCCTTGTCCTCCGCGCATGCTCTCCCCCACCTCTGCTCCAGCCAGTACTGTGGCAACCAGCTCCATAGAGGTCTAGTCTGAAAGTGCTTCACCTCAGGCCACTGCATTACGCCTTCTTCCCAGGGTTCTCTGGCATTGCTGCGGGACCTTCTTGGGAACTGGCATTTATGCATATGCAACTGAAAATGCCAGGGGGATAGTCACTCCACAAGACCCCCGATGGTGGAGATGGCGCCCGGGGAATCAGTGCCAATTGCCTGCTTCAGTCCTATGGGCAGGTGGCTCTGAGGTCATCCTGTCTGAAGTAGCCAGTTTGGCAACTCAACCTTGTTGGGGCTTCTTTCCTTCCCTGTTTCATACTCCTCCAGCCCCCACACCTATTCCCTGGAGTCAGTTCACAAAACAAGCCACCCTCACGCATGCTTGGGCTCTGCTTTCTGGTAGGAACTCAGGAATGACATCGTAGAGACATGGTGCTGGGCACATAAGAAATCCTACATAAACTTTACCTGTTCCTCATTTTCTATACTAAACGCTGCCTACGATCAGTCTTCTCCATGTCTGCTCTCTTGAAGGAAGTGGACTTTGTTGTTGTCACCATGTGGTGGGCAGAAAATGACAAATAAGTGAAAGGGCCAAATACCACAGGGCAAAGACCTGGAATAGCTTCCTGAGTCGGATGTCCAGAGACTGACTTTGGGCCACTTCATTGCAAGAGACTTTAGGTGGTTTTAGATCATACAGTAACAAACCGTTTTTAAAACTTATGTGTGTGTTACTGTGCATTAGAAATCTATAAATAAAACATCAAAACCATGATTTCACTTTATTTTTGCTTTGGCTAAAAATGTTTTAAATGACTCATATGAAAAATATTAATAGGAATAAAGATAGCATGTAAATATAGCAAAAATCATGATAGTGGTGTGTGAAAAAAAGATCTGGGAAACTAATAGATAAATGTGCCTTTTATAACCATTATGTTTTAGGTAAGTGGATAGGATCGTAGTTTGGGCATCTATATTTAGGAATTTTGTTATCAAGTATGCTAACCATTCTCTTACTTAGGTACACAGACTTGATTTGCCACATTTGTATTTTTGACGACGTTGTTCTAACTTTCAGGGAGAGCAAATAAAGGTCTTTTTCTCATATTAAAACAACAGAAATGGCATAAAACTATCATAATTTTAATTACTCTAAGAAGCTGAAACAACATACACATAAGTTGACTCATCTGTGCATTTGGTCAAGGACACTCAGAATTTACATGGGCAGGTACCTATACACAGTACATTGGAAAACCTTTTTACTGCTCTCTGTCTTGAATGGATATAGAGCACATTCATATCATAAATAGGATTCACTGATACCTCTAGAAAAGACAGTTCTTAAAACTGCTGTGCTTGTAGATATTTCAAAGACAATAGTTTGCTCACATTTCTAAATATTCATTAGCAATAAGAAAAGCTATGAGGACATGTTGTACACTCTAATTTAGGAGAGATTTTCTTCATGGCTAAAAAGTTGCAAAAACATTCTGAAATATACATCCACAATACTCCTAATTAACTCACACAACTTGTTGGCCTTTTCACTGGGAAATGCTCTGAGGGCTACAATCTCATAGCTTGAGTGAGTAACACATTCTTTTCCACATGGAAGATGAAAGCCCTTAGTATTTCCCATAGGAGAAATGTAGTCCTCTTGGCATCTCCCACAGGAGATACGATAAACAGCGAAAAATGATTAACACTTGGGCAACAGTGACTGCCTAAAAACACAGACTTAACTATGATGTTAGGTCAGACCTAAAGAGAATTATAATGTTTTATGATTGCTTACTTAAAAAAAAAACTCTTCCTTTCTTCCATCTCTTTCACTTTGTCCTCAACTAAGACAGATCAGATGATTGACAAGCCATTCCAAGATTGGGCAATTCCTCTTCATATGAACTTGATGCTCCAGAAATATTTGCTGTGGAAAGGTCCCCGGGAAAGGCGCAGGCCATGCGGAAAGGCTGACTCCTAGAGCTCTCCGACTTCTGAACACCAACAAGATGCCGAGTTGGTGGCTTCTTGTTGAATAAGAATAAATAAGGCATTTGACCCAGCCATCCCATTACTGGGTATATACCCAAAGGATTATAAATCATGCTGCTATAAAGACACATGCACACGTATGTTTACTGTGGCACTATTCACAATAGCAAAGACTTGGAACCAACCCAAATGTCCAACAATGATAGACTGGATTAAGAAAATGTGGCACATATACACCATGGAATACTATGCAGCCATAAAAAATGATGAGTTCATGTCCTTTGTAGGGACATGGATGAAATTGGAAATCATCATTCTCAGTAAACTATCGCAAGGACAAAAAACCGAACACCGCATGTTCTCACTCATAGATGGGAATTGAACAATGAGAACACGTGGACACAGGAAGGGGAACATCACACTCTGGGGACTGTTGTGGGGTGGGGGGAGGGGGGAGGGATAGCATTAGGAGATATACCTAATGCTAAATGACGAGTTAATGGGTGCAGCACACCAGCATGGCACATGTATACATATGTAACAAACCTGCACATTGTGCACATGTACCCTAAAACTTAAAGTATAATAATAAAAATAAATAAATAAGGCATTTATACACAGGTGTAGGGATAGATTGTCTAACTCCCCTAGAGAAATTTTTTTAACTGCATGCATTGTCAATGGGGCAATAGCACCCCAAAGGAATGAAAATTGGTTCTTCTGGGGGCATGTGAAGAAAATCTTACTCTTTTTACGTATAAAGCACAGAGGTACAAACAATGCATCAACAGCTATGCAGTATACATGTGGTATTAAAATTTAATGGGAGGAGTCAACTAAGGGGAAAAAACCCTAAAAAGTCTAGGAGGGGGTGGATGATAATGAAAACAAGGCTGAGAAACACCGCCATAAACCCACCTTCAGACAGGAACAATGATTCAGACTGTTTTCCATAGTGCTTTCTAAACTGTTGTATATTGTTTTAAAAATAATTTATCATATGCTAATTGATAAGAGAGTCAAATATGTGCAAAGAGCTGTCTTCCCCAAAATGAATACCCTCTCTTGAAAAGTGCTAAAATTCTTAGAATAGGAATTATTTGTCTTCTTCCAGAATTCTGCTACGCTTCTGACTGAATTCCATTCCTGGAATAGCTATGGTGTTACATGAAATGCATTATCAGGCGACAGCTCAAAGGAGAAAGCAGAGAAGGCTATGCTCAGAAGGGCTGATCACTGCAGGTGCTGTGTTTGCAATCGATTTCTTAGTAAGAGTAGAAGCACTTTTGCTTCTGTTTTATTTTCTTTTCATAAGTCATATAAGAAGTAGGAGAAGGAAGAGATACGGACATTATTTTTAGCTCTCACAAACAAAAACAGATCACTAACTTTAATATGCACAGGGAATCCCTGCCCGTGAGGTTCCCCAAAAGTTGGTGCAAGTGTTTGAAATGTGCCACATGCCACTATTATTACCTCAACTGCCCCTAAGACCAGGGCCCTGGGCAAAGATTCAGCCAGGGCATGCATTCCATTTACTTTGGCAAGCGTCACTCCCAGGTTGGAAACATTCGAACAAAATGAATCTGTCTTAGATAAAGGTGATTTTACTACCTGCACGTCCTCAAGAGCAGGAGTCTGCCAGTGGCCTCCCCGGGTCATCACGAACCGGATCAAGCACCAGAGAACTGAAGACGAGAGAAGGCACACGCTACCTACAACCCAGACGTCTTTTCTTCTGAGTGTGAAGTCCATTCTTTGGGAGCAGCTGTGGATGTTGCTTGGCTTATATGTTCCTTCCCTGCCCTGATCTAGCACCAGCACTTCTCAAGCAGTGTCACCCTTTGCTCTGCCCTGAGGAGTGGGTGTCACCGAATTACAGAGGGTTCTTGCAGAGTCCTGCACTGGACGTCTCCAGTTACGTGATCAGCAAATAATCTGCCTCTTTAAAAGGAAAAATACGATGGCCTTGTGTGACAGATCTGAAACAGGTGTAGGGGCATTGGGAGACTGCTGGCAATAATTTACGACGCTGTGAATGCGTATTTGTTCCCAGTTCAAGGACAATTAGCACCACTGTATCTGGCAACTGCTGGCTGCCGAGGCTGGGCCACTGCCAGGGAGCTTTCTCCTGCCCTTACAGGGTGAGGAGCACAGGGATGGAGGTGGCGAAATGCAACTTGAAAAATCACAAAACCTCTGCCCTCAGCCTTGTTATTTTGAGATCTAAGTTATAGTCATTACGGATGGTGCTGATGGTACAATTTCACAGCAGATGGTCAGGAAATGCCACCTGGTGTTAAATCCACCAACTGCAATCAAAATAGGAAAATCCACACTTTACTCCAACCCACTGTCCCTCTGCACATCCTGTTAATAAATATTTTGCTTTGCTTGGTCTTGGGAGCATTTGTACCGGGCATTTAAACACTCCAGGGACAGTGGGGTCCCGAGTCTGCTGGGGCCATGCTTGTTTCTACCCCCACAGCTTTGGGATACCCCCTGGTTGGGATATGGAAGAACTTAAGCCAGGTTTTAAAAAGGAATTATTCCCTATGAAGGAAGGCTTTCAAACACAAATCAACAAGGGTTAGGATAAATTCAGAAATGATTTGCTTAGGGGTCTTCCAGGCGCGGATGTGGAACGGTGGGCTATGCTGACATATTTTTGTAGAGTGAGCATTCACAACCTGTGTCCTACTTTTATACTTGGGACCATGCCTTTTGGATGGAGGATGAGTAACTAGGGGTGAACAGGCAGGTGGGGAAAACCAACGGAGGAGGAGGAGAGCACAGACAACCCCGGGCCTCAGGAGCAGGGATGGGGGTGGTACACCGAGGAAAGCAGTGAGAAGCACGCAGGGCCGAATGGTTGGCTGAGAATATCACCAGGCACATTTGTGTTTCATTAAGCAAAGGGGTGTGGGGGTGTATATGAGACAGAGATCCTACTAAATATTCAAGTAAATCTGGGGGAAATACAACACGAGGGCTATTTACTATATAGATAACAGAGAACTGACAAAAGAAAAAAAACCCAGATTCAACTGTACAAAAATAATACTAATTATAGTTATGAAACCTGTTCATCATTTATAACTTAATGGTATGGACACAGTAGCTATCGAGCTCATCACTCATATGAGTCAGACCAATTTGGTCTTGTAAATTTTACTTGATTTCAACACCACACCGTGTACGTATGTTTAGATCTAGTTTATTATGGCATATGGTTATCTGCTGAAAACTTTTAAAATTTTACACAGTAGGTAGAATTTAGGTGATTTTGAACAGCCTTTGGAACATAATAGAATAAGAAAAGTCATTAGAAAACAGAATAAAAAGGAAAGTAGGAAAAATAGGCCACACACAGCAGCTCATGCCTGTAATTCCAGCACTCTGGGAGGCCAAGGTGGGAGGATCACTTCAGCACAGGAGTTCAAGACCAGTCTGAGCAACACATGGAGACCCCTGTCTCTACAAAAAAATACAGAAAGTAGCCATGGGTGGTGGTGCATGCCTAGTCCCAGCTACTTGGGAGGCTGAGGCAGGAGAATCACTTGAGCCAGGGAGGTCAAAGCTGCAGTGAGCTGAGATCACACCACTGCAATCCAGCCTGGGCGACAGAGTGAGAAGCTGTCTCAAAAAAAAAAAAAGAAACAAACAAACAAGAAAAATTAAAAGAACAAGGCCGGGCACGGTGGCTCACGCCTGTAATCTCAGCACTTTGGGAGGCCAAGGCAGGTGGATCATGAGGTCAGGAGTTTGAGACCAGCCTGACCAATGTGGTGAAACCCCGTCTCTACTAAAAATACAAAAAAAAATATAAAAAAAAATGAGTCAGGCGTGGTTGCGTGCGCCTGTAATCCCGGCTACTCAGGAGGCTAAGGCAGGAGAATTGCTTCAACCTGGGAGACGGAGGTTGCAGTGAGCTGAGATCGCACCACTGCACTCCAGCCTGGGTGACAGAGCAAGACTCCGTCTCAAAAAAAGAAAAAAAGAAAAAAAGAAAGAAAGAAAAATTAAAAGAACAAGAACTACTTAAGTAGAAGGAAGAAAAGAAGGCTATGAAGTGTTTCATAAACTCAGTAAAACATAGAGGAAAGAAGGAAGATGGCTAAAAATGAATTCAGTAGAAGAAAAATAAAAGAAATAGAAAAATCTGATTAAGAGCAGGAAAACAAAAAGAATCTGAGTTTTATCAAACTATTTTAACAAATATAAGTTGTTAAATCTATATAAAATTCTTCCCCTATTGGGACTGGAGAGTAGTTCCAGACTCTAAAGAAACTGCACTGCAAGCTTCCAGAACAAAGCTTTCATGTCACCAGAGTCTGAAATTCAGAGTACATTCTTTCCAGTGCACCACAGGGGATGTTTCTACTATGATTAGCCGTGCTAATCCCCTCAAAGAGAGAAGGGATGAGAGAGAAAGGGGAATAGGTGGAGAAAATCGACAAGCATGTTTTTATAGTCCCTGGAGAGAAAAGCGTGGCATTTTAAAGATTTACTGCTGCCCCAGCAGAAGATGAAGACGTGTTAATCTAGCTCTGTCTGCATACCTGAAGACATCTGAGCTGCTGGAATGTCCTTCTCCACCCACCCGCTGCCAAGCCTGCTGGCTGCCCTGGCACCCACCAACTAGGCAGGCAGGGGCTCCAGGCCATGGAAAGGAGAACTCTGTGCCTCTGACACATGCACCTATCCATTCTCCACGTGGACGGAGAGAGACAGGGAAATTTATTGCAGACATCTCTAGGCCCTTCTCCATTTACAAGTAAGAAATTGAATGGGACACATGGAGCTCCTAGTGATTCCTTCCCACCTTCCACAGGGTGTCAACTGCAGGACGGAAGCCAGGAGGCCCAAGTTACAGAAGGGATATGAGACTTACTATAAAGGACATTCTCTGATGGTTTCTAGGGGTTAAATAGCAGTCTCAATTTTTCCCTCAAAAACACCCTAAAAATATTTAACTTCCAAATCATCAACTTCTGGATGTAGTTGGCTGCACAAAAGTAACATCCCTACATATATTTATGTTCCAACTTAGCACTATCGCACTCTTTTTTTTTATCTTCAGAAACAGGGTCTTCCTCTGTTGCCCACGCTGGAGTGCAGTGGTGTGATCATAGCTCACTGCATCCTTGAACTCCCGGGCTCAAGCAATCCTCCTGCCTCAGCCTCCCAAGTAGCTGGGACTACAGATGTGTGCCACCATGCCCGCTATTTTATTTGTATTTTTTTATTTTTGTAGAAATAGACATCTCACCATGTCACCTGGGCTGGTCTCAAACTCCTGGCCTCCAGTGATTCTCTTGCCCCAGCCTCCCAAAGTGCTGGGATTACAGGTATGAGCCATGTGTCCTGCTTATCTCACTCTTTAGAGTGTTGCCCATTTATAAAAATTGTATCATAGATTTTGGAGAAAAACAGTACTTGAAAGATAATGAAATTCATATAAACTATTACAGTTAGTTGATGATTTCAAAGTTCTCCAAGAAGAATATTTTGTCTTCTCTGTCCTACCGAAATTAATAAACAGAAAAAATTATCCTGTTTGTACCACTGAAAACCCTAATGAGAAAGTCATGTCTCACTTAATTTTGCCTGTAGATATTTCTCCTTGGTCTATATTGAACTCATGGGGAAAGCAGAGGTCTCAAAAAAATGTTTCAATCTGATTCATTTATTCTCTCCAGCACATTTTGTCATTTCTTATTCACTTACAATAAAAAGCCTCCTAGACCTTTTATATACAATCTCTCTATTTCATTGTCTATTGCATTGTTAGAAACGCCCTTCCTACCTGAATAGTGTTTTTTAGAACAGTAGCTGGGCAAAGAAGGATGTTTTCCAAACCTGCCTGATAAGAATCACTTGCTCTGATTATCAAAAATAATGGTTCCCAGCCCTCAACCAGAATTCACTTAAATAGATCTGTGCATTCCAAAAACACTTTTGGTGCCTATTTGTTTCCGTTACTAGGAAAGCAACTGAGGAAACATGAACAAATAACACGAGGTTTCCCAACCTTAAGGAGCCTTGTCTAGAGAAAGGTGATCAACATGTTCAAAACCACCACATGTGCTGGAATGAAGGCACGGGCAAAATGCTTGATGCTCCCACCGGGCAAGGAGCCAACGGATGATGGGCAGGAACTGACTGGGCCAAGGCAGGGGAGGTAATTGCTGCTGCCGCTAACACATATTAAATGCTGACTCTAGTGACAGATACTAGGCGGAGTGCTTTACAGACGTGATCACACTTAATTTTCACAATTGCTATTATCTCACTAATTCAGATGTGGCAAGCCCTTGGTTAAATTAATATTTTTCCCAAGAACGAGCAGCTGGAATGGGGCTCAGAACTCTCGTTCTGCACAGAGGAGGGTACAAGCCCCACCGTCGTGCCATCAGCAAGTCTTTCTTGTCCCTTCTCTGGACTTCACTATCAACAGCTCTGCTGTCTACCGCGTGAGGAACTCAAGATCTGAAGGAAAAAGGAGAAACTTCTTTCTGCAGAACAGTGTGCCTCTCAGAGCCCTTTTCTGAATTTCAAGCCCAAATCCATCATGCTAAAGGATTCTTCTTCATTTCTGCAAGCTGGCTGTATAACTCCTAAGCCACTAACTAAAAGTGAAGTCGACTGCTGGCAGAAATGCAGTTTCAAAGGCCTCCTAATTATTTACCAAACACAATTGTATAGTCGACACACACAATTCTCACTGAAGCAAAGTGGAATGATGCCTATTCATAAACTTTCCTTAATTGTACTCACAAGCGGCTCCATGACATTAGAAAAGATAAGATAGAATGAATACTTTTTAGGAGACTAAATTAGAACATGATTACCTCATTATGTCCAGATCTTGAATCCTGGTCCCCAGAATTTTTTTCCAGAAAACACTTCACTTTCTCCACCTCTTCCCTGCACTGAAAAAAGGCCATTTTCTCCAGCTGGTTGCTGTTATAACACGTGTTGAATTCTTCCAGCCTCTTCACTTTTAACATCTTAGTAGTGAGTCCGATTAAGCTACTTTCTGGAGTGTGGTTTTCGTCTCCCTCTGTCTCCGATTTATAAATCAGGACACAATTATGACTCTTCAGTGCTTCTTTCTCTTGACTGCAAAGAAAGGAAACACAAAAAGTTCTCATCACGTATTCATGCATTTGACTTCTTGAGAAAATGACCAGTGAGAATTTGGAAGTCCCTTCTGTTTAAACTGGAGAGAGGATCCAAAATCAGGAAAAGAAATACTAACATTCATATTGAGTTTCCAACATTGGAACTTTAAAAGGAAAAAAAATTTTTTCACTTTAAAACTACAAAAGCAAACAGTAAGAAGCAATGTCAAGATTCACTGGTGATGAAATATGCTCCTTATTGCACAAAACAAGCCGTAGATCAAGTGGCCAGCTTGGATGTAAATTATAAAGTATCTTTGGGTTTAATTGGAACCGCAGGTTTTGCAGCCCCGTGGGAAGGGCTTATCACAGAAGGGGTCTCTCTGCTTCCCCTGGCCTCCCTCTGCAGAGGGATCGCTCCCGAATGAGTCCTTTTCCAGAACTCTTCTCTACCTATGCCTTAAAATGTGTGGTGTTTATTTGTGAAAAGAAATTTATTTCCTTACAGTCTTCTCACGTGGACAGCACTCCCAGATACCTTTCCTTGCATCTGCATTAACAGCTATGTACCGAGAAGTTCAGAGTCTTTTCACTCTCCTTAAAATACTTTCCTCGCAAATGAAGTAATGCAGCATACATAATTCGCTTTGATACTAGAGACATATACGCATGTCTATATGTACACATCACTTGATTGCATAGAGAGGCAGGGAGAGGGAGAGACATTTGAATTTGTGCTAGTTCCGCATGGCTGACAACTGAGGCCCCCTGGTGGAGATTTTCCGAAAAGCGCCTCTTCGAGCATTTTCTCCGCTTAAAAACCGTATTGTGATTCTCATCAGAAAACTTAATATTTTGTTTTGTCAGTTCCTATAGTAAAATGATACTCTTGAGTTCCAAAGTGTTTAAAATTCACTGCTCTAACAAATTATACTTATCCACATAAAGAGCTTACATTCAAACAAATAAAAATGCAAATATTAATACTATCAACCAGAGCTCTACAGATATATTACAGATCATTCTTAGCATTCTTTCAAATTGCCCTGAAAAAATTATTAAAATAAGGAAACAAATGCATGGCTATTTCTAAGGCAAACTACGACTAAAATACTATGGTTAATTGCAGATGAAACTCAAGTTGGATCAGGAAGCCACACAAAATTAATGTATTAAAACAAAAGCTTAGGATTAAGATACAATAATTTTGCAAAGAAATATTAAACATTAAGCTCTACCTGAAGTTTGGTACAATTTGTTATTGAAGGTAACTTAGAAAAAAGGGGAGGAGATTTGAGAGGTTATAACAATAAACAAAGATAATTACCATTGATAGGATCACATCGAAGAGCTTGAGCCACTCCAAGTCTAGAGCATACATTCCAGAAGATAAAGAGAAATTTTGCAGAATTCAAACTGACTATGAAAGTCTCTGGTAAAAGTTTTGACTCTCAGTCGTATAAATCTTCTGAAAAGACAAGTGTCCACTACGAGAGGAAGTATCTTCTCTCTCAAATGCCACTTTCAGCCCCTGTTTAAATTAATATGGCTCTTGATCTCACGTTGCTCAGCTGTTGCCTTCTTAGTCAGATGGGGAAGAATATTAATTTTAGACACCAGGCTTTTCAAGGCCAATGGCTCCATTTCAGAGGTCAGGTAAGGAGAGGATGAACCGGGAACACTGGATGAAATATCACCTTCACCTTTCCCTCGTATCATTGTGTCAATACTCTCGGATTTACAAAGCTAGATTTGTCCTCGGCAATCATCTGCCTGGACCTTCTGCCCCTTTCAGACTCAGGATTATTTAAGTGCTCATTAAATTTCCCCCAGTAGGGAAAATGCCAGGTGTGGCAACCCCACAGCCACCTCTGTTTGCCCATCTTACGCTTTGAGCATATCCAACTGCAATATAGAAGATCTTCTGAAAGCAGTTAGCAAGTTTGTTTTATTTTTCTCAGTTCTTAAAGATGTTTGCAAAGTCTCCAACCATTTCTAGCTCTAGGGAAAGGTCAAAGGCACAGGCATCCAGGAAACAGGAATAAATTTTTCATAAATTCTCCTTAAGCAACACTAGGACTTCATCCGTAGTTTTCTGCACAGACCAAGAAAGGGGAATTTCAACCCACCTGCCCGACTCTCACAGTAGTGCATCCCTAGATTCACTGAAGTGGCATAAAACTTTGATTGCCCAGAGGCTGGACTTTGCAGTCTTGAAAACCCTGCAATTTTTCAGGGCCTGGCCAATTGTCACCTCTTATTTGGAGCCTGTGTTAGCCCCTCTATGCCCCATTCTAACACCAGCCTCTGCTGCTCTTCTGCTTCTTTTAAAAAAAAAACCTTATTTTTAATTCAGATCGATGCATTCCATGTGAAATAAAAATACATATTTTTCCATTTTATGTAGTATTAATGAATTACAGCAAAATCTTTTTTAAAACACAAAACGCTTGTTATTTTTCAGATTGGAGAGCTTTGTTCTTCAGCAAAAGTAATGAAGTGGAACTATAAATTTGTGGAGATAAATTATCTGACAAAAGTATTATACAAAGACTAAGCTGGTTTGAGGTTACCAATTTTGTTAGTATAATTAAATTGTGTAGAAGTACTGATAAGGCAACAAATGCCCTGCCAGAGGCAAGATGTGTGTGGGCTGCTGCTGATCCAACCACATCCTCCACCCGGACCACCACCACGCAAAAGCAGACTTCCTATCTCGTTGGCTCCAGCAAACCAACCACAGGCTTGAGTGAGCCAGAGGCCAGGAGAATCTGCTCCTTAGCTTATTTTTTTGTAATAAACTTTTCCTTTTAGAGTAGTTTTACATCTACAGAAAAGGTGCAAAGGTAGTTCAGAGTTCCCCTTGCCCTGCACCCCGAATCCTCTGTTTTTAACATCTTACGTTGGTATGGTATACTTGTCACAATTAATGAACCATGGTGAACGTTATTATTAACTAAACTCAATACTTTATTGTTGCTGGGTTTTTTTTTTCCCCAAATGCCCCTTTTCTGTTCCAGAATCCCATGCAGGATTCCACAGTACATTTAGAATCAGTAGGATTTATGATAGATTGGGTATGGGGTATGAAAGAAAGATGGTAGACACCTTTGCATATTTTCTTCTGAGCACTTGAAAGACAGAGTGAACATTAACTGAGATGGAGACGGCTGTGGGAAGGGCAACTCTGGAGGGAAAGGTCAGGCATGAAGTCTTTGGCAAGTCCATTAAACGTTCAAGTTGAATAGGCTGTGGAGATAGAAACTGGAGTTCCGGGGAGGGGTGTAGGCTGGAGATAAGAATTTGGAAGGCATCCACATATAGACATTTCCATGCACAATATACATTCAATACATATTTGATTAATGACTAGATAGAATGATCTTTAATTGTGTCTACTTGCCCTAAAAAGCAAGTCAATTAAAATAATCCATGCTAAAAGTGACTGATTGTCTGGTTCTGCTGCATCACACTGTTCCCAGCTTCCGATGGCATACAGGACAAGCACACTGCTGGCACAACCCTTGACCACAAAAAAACAGGTTATACATGCATACTCATTCTGGTCTATCAGCCTAGCCTCAGGATCCTAAGTCCATACCCATAAAATGTTCTGCATGCTTAAAGATGCTCTTATACCCGGAAAAATTCATTAGTGAGGAATATGAGCAGGCCCAGGAACACTTTTCCAGTATTTCCATATTTTGGAGTTATACTTCTCTAAAAAATACCAACATCAGGAAAACAGCACCCTACAGAGCCATGGAAAAGAATCCCTTGATTTTTTTCAAGGGACATTTCCATTAGCTGAGTAAGAGACTGTGTTGTCAAAGGAGCCACATGAAGAAACATCGTCGACAGCTCTTGTCTACGGGTTGGCATTGAAACCCGGCTGGATTACACTAAGAGTTTTTGTTTCTACACAGCGTTCTGAATGTTTCCAGAACAAGACCTCTTGAATGTTTACACACAAAAGCGGAGCAACAGTACAAATACCCAAATGCAAATAAAAAGCTACTGCATCCCTGTTACCCACATTACAATAGAACTTCCTTACTTTCAAAAATCACCACTGAATACGACCCATAAAAACGAAGATTGATAAATTGCACTTCTTCAAAATTCAAAACGTTTGCCTTTGAAAAAACACTATTAGGAAAATGAAAAGACACTATTATGAAAATGAAAAGACCAGCTACAGATGTATAGAAAATACTGTGAAGTCACATATTTGACAAAGGACTGCATCTAGCATATACAACTTAATAATATATGACAAAACATTCCAGTTTTTTAAATGGACAAAAGATTAAAACAGACCTCACCAAAGAAGATATAAAAATGGTTAATAAGCACATGAAAAAAAATGCTCAAAATCAGTCATCAGGGAGATGCAAATTAAAACCACAAGGAAACATCATTTCACACCCACTAGGAGAGCTGTAATAATAATGAAAAAAATAAAAGATAGGTTGGGTGTGGTGGCTCACACCTGTAATCCTAGCACTTTGGGAGGCCAAGACAGGAGGATCACTTCAGTCCAGGAGTTTGAGACCAGCCTGGGCAACATAGCAAGACCCCATCTCTACCAAAAAAAAAAAAAAAAAGACAGAGAAAAGCAAGTGTTGACAAGGATGTGGAAAAACTGGAACCCTCACCAAATATGTTGATGGGAATATAAAATGATACAGGTGTCTTATAAAAGAGGTTGGCAATTTCTTAAAAAGTTATTTCCCATATGACCTAGAAATTCTTCTCCTAGGTATCTACCCAAGAGAAATGAAAACATATGAACACAGAAACCATGGCACATGAATGTTCACAGCAGCATTATTCACAATAGCCAAAAACTGAAAACAACCAAAATGTCCATCGGATGATTTGGAGACTGGGAAAAGATAATGTGGTATACACATACAAATGGAATACTACGTAATTAAAAGGAATGAAATACTGGTATCTACTACAATATGGATGAGCGAAAACACTGTGCTAATTGAAAAAAAAAAGCCAGAAACATAGAGCACAGATTGTATGATTCCATTTGTATAAAATGCTCAGAAAAGACAAATCTATAGACGTAGAAAGCAGACTGGTGGTTGCCGGGGGCTGGGTGCAGGAATGGGGGTTAATTGTAAACAGAATCTTACCCGATGATGTGTGGTAGTGATGACTGTACAACTCATTCAGTTTCTTAAAACAATGCAGAATTGTGCACTTGAGATGGGTGAATTTTATAATATGTAAATTATACTTCAATAGAGTCATTAAGAAAAAGAAAACCCAATAATATGATTAACAAAAAGTAGCTTGTTAAAAGGAGAGGAAAAAACTGAACACTTTGTGGTCATCTGTCCCCAGTGACCAAGGCTGGGATCCAGGGAAACATAAATTATATTCCACACTTGCCAGGTCACCTAGGGCCAAAGAAAAGGAATGGTGAGCAGGAGACAGTTAAGAGTCTCACGCTTTTCTTCTCCTGGCATGAATATCATGCAATATAAGATTTTGTAATTAATAGAAAAATTAATAGTAATTTTAAAAGTAATTTCTATCTTTTATTTTCTGCTTGGAGATAGGATACTTTGAGCAAGAAAGATAATGATGTTATGGAATATCCAGATTTCTTTACAGGAAATTTTGATATTAGACCACTAAAACTTCTAAGTGACAGCAATTAGCTAAGTATTACGAAATACAAAAATGAAAATAAAACAGGTTTTAAAAATTAGATAAAAATATGGATTGGATCATTTAAAAATTAATATTTTTCAGAAATATTACATAAAGTTTCAGTTTATTACCTCTACAGTGGCTACACAAATTGTTCCTTTAATTATATCCCTTAAACTTTCTAAGGGATATTTGCAAGCATAGTACAATGAATACCTATACATCCTTCACCCATATTCACCAAATGTTAGCATTTTCCATGTTTGCCCTCTCTCTCTCTTTTGCGAGTAAGATGCATATCTCATGAAACTTTACCCCTATATGAATTGGTGTATGTTTCTTGAGAAAAAAGACACTTTCTCACATAACAGAATCTACTCAAAAATTACATAGCGCATTTAATCACCATGTCTTCTTAGTCTCCTTTTATCTATTTAGGAAATGGTCATTCCGTTTATTTTATTTTATTTTACTTTTTGAGACAAGGTCTCACTCTGTTGCTTGTGCTGGAGTGCAGTGGCGTGAACACAGCTCACTGCAGCCTTGACCTTGGCTCAAGTGATCCTCCTGCCTCAGCCCTCCAAGTAGCTGGGACTATTGGCAGGCACCACCACACCAGGCTAAGTTTTGTATTTTTTGTGGAGATGAGGCTTCCTAGTCTCTCTCTCTTTTTTGTAATCCTTCATGACATTGATATTTTTGAAGTCTTTGGACAAATTGTTTCATAAAATGTCTCTCAATTCTAATTTCCTGATTGTGTCTTCATGCTTGGAACCAGGTTATACCTGAGCATGAAAACTACAGAAGTGACACTGTATCTTTTTCAGAACATCACAAAAGGTGGCACATGATGTCGGTTTGTGCCATTATTCGTGATATTAAATTTGGTGATCTGATTAAGGTTGTGTCCACCAGACTTCTCAAATGTAAAACTAACCCTTTTATTTTTGTGATTGATAAATAACTTGTGGGAATTTATAGGTATCATGTTCCCCAACAATGCATCACCCAACGTTTCTCAGTATCTATTCTTGAGAATCAATGATTACCACAGAGACTGTGAAATGATTTTCTAATTCTGCCATTTCTTCTATACTTATTAATTGGTATTCTTTTATAAAGAAGAGCTTTCCATCCCCATCCTGAACCTCACTCTCTTTAGTATCAGGATGAGCTTATGGCCTTTTAAAAATGGACATACACTCCCTATATTCTTTATTTTGAAGCTCAAATTGTCCCATATTGGCCAACGGAAGTGCCTTCAAGCTGGCTCCTATGTACTTTTGATATGTCATTATTATTTTTTGAGTACTTCCTTACTTTCAGTACTGTTTTCACCCTGTTTCTGAATTCTGCCATTTCTTCAAGGAGCCCTCCTTCCTCTTAGGCAGAATGGTATTTAGAAATCAAGCCCTGGGCACCAGGAGTGTTTTTTGCTACGGGGGTGTCACTGTAGACACTTCAGAGGACAGAGAGAGGAAATATAATTCTTTCTAAAAAATCATGAGTTCACACTCATACTGATATATTTCTATTTCCAAACCAACACCATAGGATTATTTCCGCCCTTTCCCTATACCACATATGTAACCCCCTCCCACTGATACTTTAAGCCTAAAAATTTTAAACATGAGAAAACACAAAATAAAATGCTTGCTACAAGGTAAAATTCATACTACTGTTGTGACTATCCATTCTAAACAATTGAGGAAAGTCTAAGGATATTCATTTCCAATATTTAAAAATCCCATGCTACAGCATGAATCATCATTTTCTACTTTTAGGAACTGGAGGAACAATGTTTATGTTTATGTTCTCGGGAATGCTCTCCTACCTTCTAAATTGGAAGTAGATTTCAGAGCTAGAATAAGCTTATGATAGTAACAAGGCATGAAATTACAGAAGTGCAAAGTCCAAGTCATGCTCTTCTGACCAAATGTTGGCCTCCTTGTCCCAAGAGGGTAAGGTTGAGAGGAGAAATTTTCCACATGGAAAAACACTGCCATAGGGCGTGCATTAATGGCTGATGGGCAGTTTGGTGAACTCTCAGAGGTGTGCTTTTTTTTTTTTTAATTAAAGATAAAAGTTGTATTTTTAGGTAGAAAATAAGTTGAGCTATTATGTAATGACTCATAATAGGTCGCGAGCTTTTATTCTACATGTCCAAAAGTATTGAAGAATCTGGGGTACAAAAGGACCATGGCAGCTCGTAAAATGGTAAAAAGCATTATAAGCACCAGTTAGTGTATGGAAAACATCTTCAGTGTGAATGAAGCCTGGGAGGCAGAGGGCAGATAGGCAGCCTTGTATACTTCTGGTTAAAATGCATATTGCTCTGATTTTTATGGAAGGCAACTTGGTCATGCCCTTTGACCCTGCAATCACATTTCTAAGAAGTTTACCTCAAAGAAACAGAGTAGTACACAAAATATTATCTCTGAAGATATCATCATAACATTATTTGTTATATATAAAACACTGAAATAGAACCTATGTACAAGAGTTATAGATAGGATACTTCCATAAAAAAAAAAAAACTAGGGTTATTGGTTATGTGTCAATTTCATAGTTAGGGAAAAAGGGACAGATCCGGGCACAGTAGATGCAATAGGATCTGAATTTTAACTAAAGAAAGATGCACTGTCAATACATAGCAGATGAATGATAATACAGAGATCCATAGCTAAATAGATAAGATTGCTATACCAAATATGGTTTGTGCTTTCCTGGAGTTATCCATTTTTCTAAAATAAACATATATTTCCTTCTTAATGTAAAAAGGTTGCCAAAATAAATTTCCCAGCCTAGTGGGAAAGTCATGGGCATTGGAGACACACAGCCTAGGCTTGAGTTCAAGCTCTACTAGCTGTGTTGACTCAAGAGCTGCTCAGTCTTCCCGAAACTCAGTGCTTCCTATTTGTTAAGTGAGGATAACAACATTTACCTTATGGGGTTGTTGAGGGGTAAACAATGAGATAAAAATGGTTGATGCATTAGAGAAACTTAATAAATAATAGCCTTTATGGTTATCATTGGTAATATTATTGTTATTCATGTTATCAGATCTCCTAAGAAATAAAAGATTATTTGGCTGAAAAATTTAGAGCCAAGATTCTAAAGACGAAAAATATTCTGGAGTAGCTCAGTTTTCTTAATCAACAGTGTAACATCACTTACTGTTATTGTATACCAGGGCCTTAACAACTATGAAATGAAGTCACAGTAATTTATAATATTTTTTCTTTTATCAGGACATATATATTACATATATATTACATATGTATATATGAAATACATATTTTTGATAATATAAATAACAAAAATGTTATAAGTATACATGACATATAATATGTAAGATATATAACAATAAAAGATATATGTATCTTTTATTGAAAGATATACATATGGAAAGTATATAAAACCATACACTATTTAATAAATAATTATAAAAGCAATACTCATAAAGCCACCACCAGGTCAAGAATCCCCAAATTCAAAAATCCCATCCTTTTGTCCTTCCCAAGCTAACCACTAATCTAAATCTTTTCAATAATTTCCTTGATTTTCCTTGCAATTTTACCATTTACATGTGCACTCTAAATATATAGCTTCGTTTTGGCAGTTTTAGTTTGTTTGAATGTATTCATACTGTTTGTATTATTTTCTTAGTTTTTTTCCCAGTTAAAACTGTCTGTAACCCATCATATTGTTGTATATAGTGTGTATAGATGTCTTTAGTTTTCATTATTATATAATATTTTGTTGTATGAATATTACAAAATGTATGTGTTTATTCACTGATGGAGACATTTGGCTGTTTTCCATTTAGGGCTGCTATGAACACCAATGTGCACACATGAAGTACACACACTTAAATGTATACACAAGTTTACACTCCCACCAGCACTATAAGAATTCTCCTGTTGCTCTATAGCTTTAAAAACACTTAGTTTTTGCTAATCTATTGGGTGTGCAATAGCATATCATTTATAAATTTAAATTTCATTTCTCTTACTAAAGAGTTGAAGGGTTTCTCTTTTGTTGTTATTTTTAGAGACAGGTCTTACTCTGTCACCCAGGCTGGAGTGCTGTGGCACAATTATAGCTCACTGTGGCCTTGAATTCCTGGCCTCAAGTGATCCTCTCGAGTAGTGAGGACCACTGGTGCACAATACCACGCCAAGCTAATTGTTTAAAAAATTTTTGTAGAGATGGAGGTCTCACTTTTTTGCCCAGGTTGGTCTTGAACTCCTGGGTTCAAGTGATCCTCCTGCCTTGGCCTCGCAAACTGCTGGGATTACAGACATGAACCACTGTGCCCAGCTAAGATGTTCTCAAATACATATTTGGTCACTTGGTCTCTGTTTTTCATGAAGTACATATTTATGTTCTTTACTCACTTTTAATTACATTTTCTCCTATTTTCTTATCATTATGTAGGACTTATTCTACATCCTACACACTGTGCTTGACAGTAATGTGTGTTTAAGATGTCTTCTCCCTTTCTGTTCCTTGTATTTTCACTCTTGTAGTATCTTCTGCTAAATAAATAGATGTTCATTTTCATGTAGTAAGATGTATTAATCTTTTCCTTTTACGGTTAGTGCATTATTTTTTAAAAAATAAACCTTTCCCCTCATCAATGATGTTTTTACCATTCAACATGATAATGGTGCTGGTTTGAGGGCAAAAACAAAAATCATCATGTTAAGAAGATAACTTTCTCTATTTTACTAGAGATTTTTAAAAATCAATGATTGAAGTAGACTTTTGTCAAATGTCCTTTCACATTCCACTTTATAAGATACAGAGAACTGATCTTTCCAATAATTTGACAATACAGTTGGCCCTCCATTTCCACATGTTCTGCACCTTCTCATCCAACCAACAGTGGATCAAAAATTTGGGAAAAAATAAGAAACAGCAGTACAATTAATAAAAAATAGGACAAATAAAAAACCAATACAGTATAATAGCTATTTATATAGCATTTACATTGTATTAGGTATCACAAGTAATCTAGAGATGATTTAAAATATATGAGCATATGTGCATAGGTTACAAAAAATAATACAAATAAAAAAGCAATACAGTATAATAACTACTTATATAGCATTTACATTGTATTAGGTATCATAAGTAATCTAGAGATGACTTAAAATATATGGGAGTATGTGCATAGTTTTATAAGTTTTATTATAAAGGAGACACATGGGTGAGGGGCAGGAGGGTCCCAGACATGGAGCTTCCAAGCCCTCTCCTTGTAGAATCCAGGCACACCACCCTCCCAGCACATCATCATGTTCACAACCAGGAAGCTCCACTGAGTTTCTATGTCCAGAGTTTTTATTGAGGTTTCATTGTGTAGGCATGATTGATTAAATTGTTGGCCAAGCAATCAAATTCAATTTCTAGCCCCTGAGATTGAGCTGGTCCCAAGTTCCAACCTTAGGGAGCCACTAGGAGTTGCTTCATTAGCATTATATAGGCACTCCTAGCACTCAGGAAATCCCACGGGATTCTGAAGATCTCTGCCAGGAGCCAGGGAGAAAGGCTGTATATACTCCTTTTTATACTATGAATATCAATGGAAAATCACCTAAAACTAATAAGAGTTCACAAAAAGGCCAAGTATGAAATAAATTAACAAAAAATCAATGCATTTCTTTCATACCAATAAAGGGCAGTAAGAAAATAGAGTAAATAAAAGGTTCTACTTACAATAGTAAGGAAATATATAAAATGTGTTAGAATAAACAATACGAAATGTGGCATAGATTCCAGAAGATGTAGTGGAAAGTCAAGAAGAGAGAGGAACATGAGTTTGGGTTAGGGGGCAGTAATCAGAGTAGGAAGAATAGATAACCATACGACTAACTTTTAAGATGCTGACTAAAGATGGCAGGGATGTGAGTCATGTGGGATTAACTGGACTCAACTGTCCAGCATACCTTAGGTATGAACATGAAGGTGCGCAAGATCATGCCCAAAGGTTCACTAGTAGTAGATGGCTTATAAAATACCTGCTCATAGGCACTGCAGCCAGGCTGACTCTACTTGTCGTTACTGACAGGTCTATTTGAGTCACCACCGAATCTATCCTCCCCATTCTGACTGTGGGGAAGGAAGACAGAGAAGATAGTTACACACTTAAAAGTAAACCACCGAGGCCAGCTGCAGACAATTAAACAGTGAGGTATTAAAGGAGAAAATGGAAGCCTAGGTTTCTGCTTTACATTGATTTCATTTCCTGGGACCTTATACTATACGAGTTTAAATTTATTTGTATTTATGCTGATCTGAAAAGAAAGTTTAAATTTGATTGGCAAAGCAATCTAAGAGGAGGGGTGATTTTTGAAGTACGTTTTTTTCATTTATTTTTCTACCATCACCACCTAGTGGAGAAAACCTTGAACTTCAGACAGAGGGGACTAGGGTTCAGGAAAAAATATTACTACAGGACCTACTGGGTGCCAGGCACTTTACTAAATACTTTCACATTGACAAGTTCACTTAATTCTCATGACAGACCGTGAGGTAGGCATTCTTATTCCTCCTTTAGATTTGGAAACTGAGTGTGAGAAGTTATGTAGCTTGCCCAAGGTCACACTATGGACAGCTCAAAACCCAGGTTCTTGAAGTCAAGGTCTAGAGTCATTTTCACCTCATAGGTCATCCAAATAGCTCAACTTCATCCATGTATGTAGCTGTGGGAGACATGCACACACACACACAATCTTTGCTTTGTATTTTTCCTTTTTATTATTTACATAATATAGGATAGAAAAGCACAAGTAGAAAAAGGAAATGGCATTATACTATATACATTAGGTTTTGTTTTTATTTTTTGAGACGGATTCTCGCTCTGTCGCCAGGCTGGAATGCAGTGTTGTGATTTCGGCTCACTGCAACCTCCACCTCCTAGATTCAAGTAATTCTCCTGCCTCAGCCTTGCAAGTAGCTGGGACTACAGGCTCGCACCGCCACACCCAGCTAATGTTTGTATTTTTAGTAGACAGGGTTTCACCATGTTGGCCACGATGGTCCCCAACTCCTGTCCTTTTGTGATTCGCCCGCCTCAGCCTCCCAAACTGCTGGGATTACCGGAGTTTATATTAATTCTATCTCTCTTAATTTTTACTCCCATAGTACACAAGTTTCCCATGACAATACTTTTGAAAACCCTATTAACAATAAAGTTGGACGTAAAATTAGGTCTATATGCAACTCTACTGTCTAATCTTGAAACACGTCCTAAGAGACTTAAGGTACCAAAATACTAACAATGATTACAAGTAGACTTGTAGATTTTCCACAGCATTATTTTCTGAAAAAAGAAATTTTAGGCCTTATATTAAGAGATTCAAGAAATTTGTTTCCATTTTAAAATTTTTTGGATGGGTTAATTGATCATGTGGCCACGTTATCTCTATAAATGTTTAAAATCAGTGTACTGTATTTCCACATTTAGTAACACTTTTCTTGAAAACCTTGCTTTGAGATCAGCCCTAAAACTTGTTTTGCAAGTATTCACTTCTGTGATGCTCCTGCAATAATCCTTATGTGCTCGCAGTCAATGAGTTTTTACTCTCATTAACTTGATGAATAAACGCATAGACCCTCACGGAAACTGTTAACAGTTCTTAAACACAGTGCAGAGTTTCTTCTTTCTGGTAGCTTCCTGATCTCGCCGGCTCAGAAATCAACTGGCAGACCTTCCCGGAGACCGTTAGAGGTCTTAGGTCAGCATCTCTTAAGTTAGCCGTTCCTGCCAGTGGGTTCAGTGGGTTTGTGGTCTGACTGCCTTCAGAAATAAAGCTACAAGTCTCCACAGTGAGTATTACCACTCATTAAGACAATTCAGACCCAAACACCAGCTAATGCAAAAAATAAAAGAACAAAACACCCACACAAGCAAAAGAAAGCCAAGCGGGTCTCCATCGCCAGCTCTAGCAGCCTGCTTTTATTCTCTCATCTGGCCCCACCCACAACCTGCTGATTGGTCCATTTTACAGAGAGCCCATTGGTCTGTTTTACGGAGAGCTGATTGGTCTGATTTGACAGGGTGCTGATTGGTGTGTTTACAAACCTTGAGCTAGATACAGAGTGCCGATTGGTGTATTTACAATCCCTTAGCTAGACATAAAGGTTCTCCAAGTCCCCACCAGACTCAGAAACCCAGTTGGCTTCTCCCATTAATTTCTGAACTGGGGCTGCAGTATAGAGTTGCTTGCTAGTCCCACGTAATGAGCCTGCATTGCTCAGCTCTGGGGTGGTGAACGGCCCTGGGTGCCGTGAGGCAGTAAGCAGCGCTTCTCAGGGAGGCTTGGGCCGCGCAGGAGTCCCCAGTTGGGGGGAGGCTCAGGCATGGCAGGCCTGAGCCTTGCGCTGCGTGGAGGCAACTACGGCCTGGCGAGAAGTGCTGTCCCAAGTGCTAAGCTCCTCACCGTCCTGGGCCGGTGGTGCAGGCCGCTCCGAGCGCGAGGCTTATCTGAGCCTACTCCCACCCGGAACTCGCGCTGGCCCGCAAGCACCGCGCGCAGCCCCGGTTCCCGCCCGCGCCTCTCCCACCATACTTCCCCACAAGCTGAGGGAGCCAGCTCCGGCCTTGGCCCGCCCAGGAAAGAGCTCCCATAGTACAGCGGCAGGCTGAAGGGTTTCGCAACCACGGCCGGAGTGGACGCCAAGGCAGAGGAGGCGCTGAGAGCGAGCGAGGACTGAGAGGGCTGCCAGAATGCTGTCACCTCTCACTGCTGAGGGACAAATGAAAAAAAAAAGCTCACGGTCGGGCGCAGTGGCTCATGCCTGTAATCCCAGCACTTTGGGAGACCGAGGTGGGCGGATCACCTGAGGTCGGGAGTTCGAGGAAGAAACCCCGTCTGTACTAAAAATCCAAAAAAATTACCTGGGTGTGGTGGCGGACGCCCGTAATTCCAGCTACTCGAGAGGCTGAGACAGCAGAATCACTGGAACCCGGGAGGCGGAGGTTGCCGTGAGCTGAGATTGCGCCATTGCACTCCAGCCTGGACAAGAGTGAAACTGCGTCTCAAAAAAATAATGAAAGCTCACGATCCTCTTTTGGTAGTTTCACGTTACATGATGATTAAAGTTTAACTTGTTTCTCTAGCGTTTCTATTAATCTTATTTTTGAGCCTAACTTTTTTAGTTAGAAACAACTCTTAACCAGCCAGCCAGGCGTGGTGGCTCAGCCTGTAACCCCAGGACGACTCCAAAGGCTAAGGCGGAAGGGTCCCGGGCGCCCAGGAGTTCAAGGCTGTGAGCTCTGGTCGCGGCCCTGCACTCCAGCCTGGGCGACAGAACGAGTGAGACCCTCAATGTGCTCTTGCCCAGATGAAATAAAAATTCAAGTTTTGGCCAAATTTCGGAAAAGTCTTCATTCTCCCTCAATTCATTTACCTCTTCTAGTTACCAAAAATGCCTGTTTTGAGATACATGTTTTAAAACGGGAGACTTAGACAAAAGCAAAAAATAACATGGTAATTCATTCAAAGATGCAGACTACCACACTTGTTTTAATCTGATATTCTTTCCATTTCTATCCGTCTAGGACGTAATTGCACACGGGCGCCTCCCATCATTTGGTTGCTAAGGAGACAGAAGGCTGGTGTTTCCGATTTGCCACTATTACACAGCGGCCCGCGAGAAGCATCTCTTGGCTCGAAGCGCGCTGTAGGTGAACCGCCCTTGACTTAAACGCCAACACATCTAAAAGGGGGCGAGGGACGCTTTATTTTCATTTCCCTGACCACTACTGAGGTGAGCATTTCTTTCACTCGCGTACTTGTTTGTATTTTTTCTGCTGTTCACGTCCAATAGAACACTGGTTTTCTATTGGAGGCTTTTGGGTTTTTTCCCCCATTTCCCTTTCGTTACAAACGACCCGCTGCGGCCGCCTCCTGCTTGTCCCCACAGGCCCATTCAACAGCCCAGCACGGAAGGCCGGGAAAGCGGCGCTCGCCGCTCCAACAACCTCGCGCAGTCCGTGGCTCCTCCCTGCCCTCGCGCGACTCGCAGGCCTGGGCGGAGGGCTGCGTCCGCCACCGCGCAACCTCGCGCACGCGCACCACGCTCGCCTCGCAACCCCCCCCCCCGCCCCTCCCCCGCCCCCGCAAAGGCTGTTCTCAGAGTCGGAAATGGACGCACGGCAGCTGGGGCGAATGGCCGCGGACTACACTTCCCGAAGTGCCGCGCGAGGTATTCTCGGCGGTGATTGGGGCAAACGGCCACGGACTACACTTACTTACATGCCGCGCGAGGCGCCTCCGCCGCCGGGGCAAACGGCCACGAACTACACTTCCCGACACGCCGCGTGAGGCGCTGCCAGCGGCCGGCCGAGGGCGGGCGGACGCGGGAGCTGCGGACGTGAGGCATGAGCGGCGCCCTCCTCCGGCCCGCGAGCGTCCTGCTGGTTCCCCGAGCGAGGGTCTCGCGGCGCGGGGCCTAGCGGAGGGCATCGAAGGCCTCCGCGTGCGCACGGGTTGCTGCGGCCGCGCCGGGCGCCGGGGAGGGCGGCGGCCGCCATGGAGGTGAGCGGGCCGGAAGACGACCCCTTCCTTTCGCAGCTGCACCAGGTGCAGTGCCCCGTGTGCCAGCAGATGATGCCCGCCGCGCACATCAACTCGCACCTGGACCGCTGTCTGCTGCTCCACCCGGCGGGGCACGCGGAGCCCGCGGCCGGGTCGCACCGCGCCGGGGAGCGGGCCAAGGGGCCCTCGCCGCCCGGCGCCAAGAGGCGGCGGCTGTCGGAGAGCTCGGCGCTGAAGCAGCCAGCCACCCCGACGGCAGCCGAGAGCAGCGAGGGCGAGGGTGAGGAGGGCGACGACGGCGGCGAGACCGAGAGCCGCGAGAGCTACGACGCGCCGCCCACACCCAGCGGCGCCCGCCTTATCCCCGACTTCCCGGTGGCCCGCTCCAGCAGCCCCGGGAGGAAGGGGTCGGGGAAGAGGCCGGCGGCCGCCGCCGCGGCGGGGAGCGCGTCTCCGCGCAGCTGGGACGAGGCGGAGGCGCAGGAGGAGGAGGAGGCCGTGGGCGACGGCGATGGCGACGGGGACGCGGACGCGGACGGCGAGGACGACCCGGGGCACTGGGACGCGGACGCTGCCGAAGCCGCCACCGCCTTCGGGGCCAGTGGCGGGGGCCGCCCGCACCCCCGGGCGCTGGCTGCCGAGGAGATCCGACAGATGCTACAGGGCAAGCCGCTGGCCGACACGATGCGTCCTGACACGCTGCAGGATTACTTCGGGCAGAGCAAGGCCGTGGGCCAGGATACCCTGCTGCGCTCGCTCCTGGAGACCAACGAAATCCCCTCGCTTATCCTGTGGGGGCCGCCGGGCTGCGGCAAGGTGAGTGCGGCCTTGGCCGTTGGGCTTCCGTAGTTATCTCGGCGGTGGATGCAGCTGATGGTCGGAGAGCCGGGTGTGCTGCCCTCGAAAGAAGCCGCCTGCCTCTCCTGGATAAGGGGGTGCAGACTTGGGCTGGGCTGGGGCAGTGCCTGGTCCACAGGTGGAGTCTGTGATGGGTGTGAAAAGGGCACACACCCCCAGATTGGTAAGGCAGGCTTGCCGGGTTTGCAAAAGGACGATGTCTGTGAATCCATAGTTTTACAAGATGTGGACTCTTAGATTTGATCTGCCTTTATCTTCCATCGGTCTCCCCGCCCCCTCCCCAGACTTTGATTTAGTAACCGAATTCGCAAGGAATCAGCATGTTTAAATTGTAAAGAAACATTTGTATATTCCGTTTGTACATAATAACGGATTCAGCTTTGAAAAAAATCAAATTAATTCTGTTGTGCTTCCTTCCTTTTCCACTAGTTGTTGGTTTAACAGACTGGTATTTATTCTTAAGAATAAGTTTATTTAACATTCTTATATTCTTGAGAATATATTGATTTTACTAAATATACTCATGTATTTACAAAACTAACATAAAAACTTTTTCATCTGCAAGTCATTTTCATCCGGTATTTCCGTAACTTTTCTCATAATGCCTTGTACTCTAGAGAAGAAACATCCGTGCATTTTGGTGTCCAGTTCTGTGTCCCTTCGTGAGGCGTTAGCGTTCCAGATGAGGGCAGTTAGGATATTGTGAGTCTAGAAAGCATGTCATTGGAAAAACACTTGAGAAAAAAATGGAGGAGGTGAGCCAGAAAACAGAGAAAGCTAAGAAGTGCTTAAATACAGGATGCTTTTATCCATAATAAGGGAGAAGAACCAGCATCAGGAAGGGAAAGGGAGAATTCAGGGATCAAACTGTAAAGAGTTCTTGTAGCTTTGAGATTCAGACTCGTTTGCACACAAGGCTTTTATGATTTTTCTCCTATTTTTCTTTCTAGCTTTATCTCCCACAACTTAAGCACACCCCCTTTAACTCCAGTTCCTGGAATGAATTGCCCTTTTTGTGCCTTCTTGTTTGCACTCATGCCTTCCCTTTGGCCAGGAATAAACCACATCTATCCCAAATAACATCTTATGATGATGGTGGTCGAGTTGTTGACGTCTGTCCCCATGGATTTAGTTGTTAACCCCATTTAAGGGATTGAGCAGTATCATTCTTAGTAATTGTGAAGTCTTTACATAAGATCATGAGAATGGATAATCAGCTGTTGGTGGCCCCAGACAGCAAGAAGGTCCTTAGGGAGACGAGTGGGTGAGCTCATCCCACCTACCAAATGCCAGGCAAGAGGTTTGGGTGGTCCAGGCTGCTCAGTGAGATGGGCGTTGGTCATTTGCAAGCCTAGGCATCTGTGACTTGCGAGCCTGATTCCAAAAGGCAGGCAGGCGGGGATTTCTGAAAGAAGCAGCCACAGAATGGGTGCTCTACAACTTTTAGAAAAGAAAGTACCACCTTTCCATTTAGGTGCAGATTTGTCACAGTCATTAAACAGTCTTCAGTTTTTCTTCTCATCCTTTAGTACTAATAACAACATTCATATTAATAACAGCATATACATATTTGTTGAGGACCCAAGAAGTGCTTTACCTGGGTCTCCTTGGTTTTCTAGTAATTGCTAATGTGACCACAGTGCTGCCCTTCATCTCCTACCAGAGTGAACATGCAGAAGTGGCCTACAGTCATCTCAAATGCTAGGTGGATGTCATTGGTCTCAAGGCAAATGCTCCCTCACTCTCCTTTTCTCAGCTGTCCTGAGCTTCCAGTTCGGGCTGTGGTTCTGCGATGAGTTCTGCACCTAGATCCTTCCGTGCTGTCTCGGCTAGAGGAGGGAGAATTTTCTCTTTGGTGAGAGGTCACAGCTGTCACTCTGCTAAATCAAGACAGCCGTTCTTTACTGGGATTCCAAAGATCTTAAAGAGTCACCCAAAAAGGAATCAAAGGTGGTTAGGGACAGAGGAGAAAAGGTCAGGATTAGCCTAAGGTTTAGCTACTTTCCTGTTTTATTTATAATATTTTTGTTGTTGTTGTTTTTAAATGTCCTGTGGTATTTTTGATTGTTTCTGTGCTGCTCAGCATTCTTCCGAGGTCAAGTTGCTTTTGGTAAATAGTGATGCTGCGTGTGGTGGTTCCCATGGGTGCTGGTCTCTCTGTGTCTTACCAGCTTTTCAAACTCCATGTATGTCATCTTTTCTAGACCACTCTGGCTCACATCATAGCCAGCAACAGCAAGAAACATAGCATAAGGTTTGTGACATTATCTGCAACAAATGCCAAGACAAATGATGTGCGAGATGTCATAAAACAAGCTCAAAATGAAAAGAGCTTTTTCAAAAGGAAAACCATCCTTTTTATTGATGAGATTCATCGGTTCAATAAATCTCAGCAGGTATATTAACTTCCTTCTACCTTTTGGTCGTTGTGAACATCAAACAATATAAAGTGTGTGAGATCACTATACAAACGCTAGAGACTTACGAGCTTTGTTTACAAAGAAGCGTAGGCTTGTGAACCCATCTCCTTCAAGCCTATTTCTCCATACATTTCTTAGTGTTTTTTGATAACAAGAAAATGCTTTCTCTATCTGATAAATGAAATGGTTGGCATATCCCTGAGCTATACGTATCAGAAAAGCACCTTTGAATCAAATTTCCAGTTTTAGGAATTTTTAATCTAAATACTAGGAGTCATTGTGAACAGTAAAATAATGATTTTAAGGTCATTATTTTAATGGGTTTTTAAAAATTACTTTAACAGTATTTTTATTTTGAAAATTAAACAATCGGTATTTTCTGTAACTCCAGGCTCTGTCTTCAAGGTGAATGTTGGAAGAGCTAATGATTACTGTTTATTTAAATGGGTTTCTGAAATAAAAGGACACAAGCTATTTTTATAAACAAAGCCACTTAGGGATTTAAAAAAAAATAAACATTAAAATTTTATTGGGCTGAGATCTGAGAGCTATACTCTAAATAAAAAAAAATTAAATTTTTAGGCATAACTTTAAAAAATTTTTTTTTGTAACTTTTTAATCATACATAGAATATTTCACAAAACTCTACTGAGCCTTTTTTGAACCTTTTTGAATAAAAAGACCCTTTTAAAGTTCTGACGAGGCGTTAGCATTCTAGGTTTCATATTGGACCACTGACTCATCTTAGTATTTTTTCCCCATAAAACAGCATAATAGGAATAATAATAATATGATTGAGTGCTTGCTGTGGAAGAAGATTCTGGAAGTGTTAATGTTTTTGTGTGTTCTTGTCTATAAATAAATAGCTGTTACATATAAGCTATGTGCCAGTTCAGCCTTTGGTAGAAGATGGTTTTCTGAGTAAAGAAATCATTTATGTTGAAACTAAGCTAGAATTCTACTTAAAGCTATTAGTCTACCAGCAAGAGATCAGGCTTGGACGGGCATTCCAGAAGATGTGTTTCAGACTTAAAAGCAAGAGTTGTACTCCCCCAAATATTGCATCTATATTCAGTGAATATAAGGCTGCTGCTATTCCTGAACTCGAAAGATAAAAATGAGGAAAAGGAAGGAAGGGATAGCCAACTTACATAGGATTCTGCAGGTGGCTGTTGACTGGAATCACTTTTTTCTGTTTTCCTCCCATGATTAGGACACTTTCCTTCCTCACGTGGAATGTGGGACGATCACTCTGATTGGGGCAACCACTGAAAACCCTTCCTTCCAGGTCAACGCTGCTCTTCTGAGCCGCTGTCGAGTGATTGTTCTTGAGAAGCTTCCAGTAGAGGCAATGGTGACTATTTTAATGCGAGCGATCAACTCCCTGGGAATCCACGTCCTAGACTCTAGCCGTCCCACTGACCCTCTGAGCCACAGCAGCAACAGCAGCTCAGAGTAAGTTGACAGTGTGCAGCGTCCTGGGGGCACACACCTCCCAGAGAGTCTCCTGGCAGGGGGCCAGAAAGGGCCGGGCGTCAGTGAGGAGAGGGTGGGGACAGAGAAGAAATGTTGATCCGCCCGTAATGAAAATAAAAGAGGAGGGAAATGTTCGATTATACCTAACAAAGTTATCCCTGCACACTTGAAGATGCATTTTCCAGCCTCTAATATGTGTTTCTATAATTCTTCAAGCTTTAACTTTGCTTTGTTGTTTTGGTTCTTGGGTGTTTGCTTTTGTGCTTAGGCTTCTATGGGAAGCCTTATTGATGATTTGAAAGGCTTTATGTCCCTCATTGAATAGAACAAATAGATAGATAAATACTTTCTAGACTTACCATACAACTCTTTTGAGCATTGTACTCATGTTTCAATTTCTTTTTAACCTGCAGTTTAGCATTTTGTTAAAAAAAAAAAATCAAGTAAAAATTAACTTGTAACCTTAAAATTATGTAATCCTTTTTGTGTAGTTGAAACTCAGTTTCATGAAAGTAAAGGAATGTTAACTGAATATGACATTATAGGCTGTCCCTATCCTTTTAGTGACCTATTTCTGCATCATGAGTACCACATGAGCTCGTTAATGCACCAAGTGTATATCATAGATAATTTGATTTCTTGGGTCAGGGGTTTTCCTTTTTTTTAATATTAGAACATATTCTTCAGATGGTATTTGTTCATACGTTGGCTGAAATACTGCCATGGAACATAATCTGGTGTGATGAGAGGCTATTGCCCACCTCCTCCTGCTGTGGACTCTGCAGCTGCTCGTGCCTGCCCTGAGGCCAAGTTCTGGAGCCACTTTTCTGTGAGGATTAAAGTACAAGGCATAGTTTAGGCTCAGGGTTTAGGTTTCACCAGGCTCTCCCTATGTGTCTGGCCCCATTTGCTCCTGTCTGAGATGGAGGGAGAATTCTGCTGTGTCTAATGAAAGCATTGAAACATTTGGCCCGTGGACCACTGGGTAGGACAGAGTGGCCTTGTTTTGGAATACCGTTGTGATGGGGATAGCCATTACATCTGTGGCCACAAGCAGTGTGTGGAACCTGTGGTATCAGCCACATGGACTCATACTCAGAAGTGCTTTATGTGGTGGGCATTTGTCAGAGCCTAAGGGGGCTGCCAGCTCCTCATATGTAGTACAGGTTGAGTATCCCAAATCTGAAATCCAAAATGCTCCCAAATCTAAAGCTTTTTGAGCACCTTCATGATGCTGTGAAAGGAAATGCTTATTGGAGCACTTCAGATTTCTGGATTTTGGGTGCTCATCTGGTAAGTATATAATGCAAATATTCTAAAATCAAAAAAATAGGAAATTCAGACCACTTCTGGTCCCAGGCACTTCAGATGTGGGATACTCATGTGTAGGTTTCCCGTAACAGAATTCTCATTACAGACGCATAGAACCACATGGTAAAGACAAATTGAAAGAAAAGGGGGGAAATCCTAACATGTTTCATGTTTCTGTGTGTTCTTTGCTCTGTGTACTGGTTATCGTAATGTATCTGCAACTTAATATTCTGCATGTGTACTTGTCTGGGGTGATTTTTATTGATTTCATGTCATCAGTTCATGAAATAGAACATGAAATCAATAATTAATATTGATGACATGAAGTCAATAATAATCAGTTGTTACTCAGATACCCTCAGGTTTTTTCACCTCTCCCCAGTCACTGCCGTGCAGGAATTTAAAGGAAATGAGAAAGGCGGCAGCCAAGGAGCTCATCCTTGTGAGAAGAATTTCTATATTTTATTATTAAAAATCCTCAGGTGATTTGCAGGCACATTAAAGTTTGAGAAGATCAAGTGAAATAATTAAGATTTAGTTATTGAAACTGATATAACAATGAGCTAGAGATTGTTTATCTGCTAAAATTGCTTTTCAGAGAAAACTTCCCATATCCAGTAAATGATTTACTATTTCCACTACCGCTTGCTTAGACTTGATCCCAATTATATTTGCTATCTTGTGTCCCCCGCTTTCCTGGGAAGACTGTGAGGACAGGAGCTTGTCCCTGTTCATATCCCCAGCACAGTGCCTGGCACACATTATGTGCTTTGTGAATGGTTTGGAAATGAATAAATCCTAGCTTTCGATATGAGAAAAGTAGTTTAATATGTTTTGCATTATCCAGCATAAGGGATAATTACCCAGGTATCAAGAGCCTTTTTCTTTAATACTATTGCCCTTTTCATCAGCAGCAAGCAGAGTAAAATGAAAGAATGTTAAGCTTAAAACCATTAATTGGTCAACTTGTTAGCAATTCTAACAAGAAGTTAAGTTAGGAGATATCATAGGCCACAGAAAGAACTCTTACAAGTGATTTCCGAATACAAGTACCTGCCACCCCAACTGTCAGGGATAATTAAGAGTGGATTGGGATGTCTTTTAGTTGTTTTAGGTAAAATTTTGCTTTCCAATCCCTGTTGACAGCTCTATATACATCCTTGTGCATATAAATCAGATTTGGTGACACTAATCTAGTTGAAAGAAAAGACTTCCAACCCCATATACTTACTTTCTCTCTCCAGGAAGCTATTGGTGTGCATTTGTATTCTTGTGTCATGTTTTGGTGCCCTAGATAGCA
Organism: Homo sapiens; assembly: GCF_000001405.40. Classification (NCBI taxonomy): domain Eukaryota; kingdom Metazoa; phylum Chordata; class Mammalia; order Primates; family Hominidae; genus Homo; species Homo sapiens. Next base: position 2,772,994 of record NC_000006.12, read on the forward strand.
ACTAGAACATTTACAGAGAAGTCCCAGGCTGTTGAACTGCACGTGAGAGGAGGTGAGCAGGGCACTGGATTTGGAAACTAATCAAGCTGCCGCTTAGCCGTTCTTGATTGCACTTGAGGAATTGTGAGTTGTCACACAGTATACTCATGTAAGTGATAAATTCCCATTAAAGTGAAATAAGTGTTCTTTTTTTAAAAAAAAATTCCCTCCTGTAGTTATTATTCAGTCAAAATTGAAGCTCCTGCATATGCTAGGCATTGGCTGAGGGTTGAAAAGCTTGTTCCTGTGCCTTCAGAGGGAGCGCAGTATGATGAAGGCTAGGGGAGCAGGTCCACTTCCAGTGCCACGCTTATACGCCAAGTGCAGTGGGCGTAGAGAAGCAGCATTCAGAATATGTGAAATCCAGTATTTCACCTCCTAGATGAGGGGATGCGGAGTTGAGTTTTGAAGGATAAGCAGAATTTAACTGAGTGAAATAGAAAGCTCATTGTCTACGCCATAGTTGCTTTGGTTTGTATGGCTAAGCAGTAGTGTTCAGGTATTTTGCTCTCCCAAAAATATTTGGATCACATGATACAAACAGTGAAGATTCTGTCTGCTCTGGGTTAATTTTGGAGGCCAGGAAAAAAATGTCCATGATTCATGATACGAAGAATGAGCTTGTGCTGCTGAAAATGAAAAAGTAAGCTAGCATTTCGTCATCCTGCACTACTTGCTGCTTTGAAGGAATATAGATTCCTAGGTCATAGAATATATACATAGTCAAAAACACTCCTAAAGAATCAATTATTTGTGAACCAGATAGAGTATACAAGTCTTTGGAGATCAAGAGAGTGAAATGAGAAGCCATAACTGCCCTCTGCCTAGCTAGGCTGAGTTCCGAGAGGTGGTTGGAAGACAGAAAGTGGCGTCTGTCCCTGGGTAAGGGCTGTGGCGTAACTGGGTGTGGGGCTTTTCTCTAATCATCTGGAGAGGAGAGCCCCTGACAAGCTGGCCCCCAAACAAGGTGGCTATGGATTCTTCTTTTTATAAAAGTTTAAAGTGTCTTAAATAACCTTTTGTGCCATTGAATAGAAAGAAAGGTAGTGGAACTCCAGAATACAAGGGATTGGCCAGAATAAATGGTTGGTATAGAGTAGATGTCAATCTTTTTATTTAAAAATTTTTTAAGTACATTAATACAGTACATTAACATAGCTGTTTTAATACAAGGGTGCATTAAAATAATGCCATAAAAGCACCAGCAGCCAGAACCACAGATCTCATGGTCCTTGGATGCACTTCCTGTGGCTGCTGTAACAATTGCCACAAACTGGGTGGCTCAGAACACAGAGCTTTATCCTCACAGTTCTGAAAGCCAGAAGACCAGAATCAAGGTATCAACAAGGCGATGCTCTCATCCAGCATCTGATGGCCCTTGGCATTCCTTGGCTTATGACTATGTCACTCCAGTCTCTACATCCATCTTCACATGGTGGCCTTCTTCTCTGTGTCCTTACGTCTTCTCTTTTTCTGTGTTTTGTAAGGACATTTGTCATTGGATTTAAGGTACACTCTAAATCCAGGATGATTTCATCTTGAGACCCTTAGTTACATCTACAAAGACCCTATTTCCAAATAAAGTCACAGTCACAGGTTCCAGGGATTAGGACTTACATCTTTTGGGGTCACTATTCAACCCACTACAGACCCCTACCAAGTATAATGTAATTTGGAAAGACATGTGCCTCCATGGGATTAAACAGAAAGACGTCGTCATCTGAAATGTACCTTCTCTCTTTGTGGAGAAAGTCAGTTTTGTTTTGCTTTGCTTTCACTCTGATGTTATGGAAGCGGCAGCATCTGGGGCTCTGCCTTGGATATGTGCAGTTCTGGAGAGTATGCTGTTGCACAGTCTGATGAGGGTGATTCTCCTCGCTGTTGATACCAAAGCAGTATTTGTCGAGTCTCATGACATGGCAGGCACTGCTCTAAGCATTCCACATGTCTTAATCTCATTCAGTCCTCAATACAGCTCTGCAAAGTAGATCTCATTACCTCCTATTTACTAGATGAGGAAACTGAGGCACAAAAAGGTTAAGTAACATGCCCAAGACCAACCAGCTTCAATGTGATGGAGCCAGTGTTTAAGGCATGTCTCTGTCTTCTCAGTGACTTCAAGTGCTACAAGGGGTGGAGGTGCCAAGTTTACAGAGGATGGACCCACTGCTCGGTTTTTCTGTTCTGACTTTTCTCTCTTGGCACTTCTTTGTGTAAGAGCAGCAGGAGAGCCTTTTAACCAGATCTGCACATCACACTTCCCTGGGATACATTTTAGAAACATGCCTTGCCCAGGGTCTGCCCCTGGAGATTTGAGCTCAGTCTATGGTAGGTAAGGTACATGTGGCTGTATTTGTGTCTAACTTGATGCATATCCCTGGTTGAAACTTCTACACAGCAGTTATCACCCTGACCATGAAATGTTCCTTTTCCTTAGTGGAAGAGATTTGTGGGGTTTGGTTTGTAATTTAGAGAGGGAGAGTTTAACCAAGCCATGCATATTCTTTCATTCTGCCTTGAAATAACAGGTACATTTTTACTTACTGCACTCCTTCTCCAACTTACATATCCAGCTGTCTAAGTAGTATCCTCCAAATTCCAGTATTACCCAATGTGTAGAAAGCTTCAGGATTTAGGCACCTGGAAGAGGAAAGAAGAGAGCTTCCTATATTCTTCTGTTAAAATTAAAGCCCTTCTCATCAGTTGGAGAAGCCAAGCTCTCTTAAGTCTGTTTCTATCTCTAGGTTTTGTTAACTAGAAATAGAATCTTTTCCAATGCATTTATTTTAACCAATTTTCCCTTATTATAAATAGTGTTTTATTATAACAACATAATTTACTTCCTATTGTTTATTTCCATGTAGGATGTTATGACATTTTGGGCAGTCTATCCCCAGAATAGATTTTACCTCTTTTTATTGTATTCTACCTTTGGAAGGTTATTTTTAAGTGCAAAACACTTTATAAATATATGCTTAATTTTAATATATGCTTAAATTTAAAAATAATTGTAAATTCTCTAGACTGGGAACACTCTTTCAAAATAGTTTGTGCCGCAGTTTGCTGAGGGATTTTGCCAATATCAATACAACTATCCCTTCATCATTCTTGGCATGAGTTCTCTCATGGGCTTCCCATTCTAAGATCTCAGGGTATTTTAGTATATCTTACTTCGTTCTTCAGAACTTAGTAAATGGGAGTTCAAGATATATTGGGTGTTTAAGTGGAACCTTTCCCTGCTCAGTCGTCTTCACAGTGAATCTCCATTTTGTAATTTTCTTGTGTGATCATTGTGAGTGCTGTCAGCAGGTCCTGTATTACTTGGACAGAGTTGCCGACAGATTGATCTGGGCCTCGAAATACTTTCTTCTTTTGGACGGGGTGAAATTTAAAATGTGGATTATACCCAAGGGGAGGAAGAAGAAGGGAGTGGCGCGAGCTCAGGTAGCTTTCGTTGTGGCAGCACCTCCATTCCCCATGACTCCAAACCAGAAGTGTGGAACCACTTGTACTTTGGTCAGGAGTTTAAAAGCCAAAGGAAGACCTTATTTTCCAACCACATAAAATACATAATCATTGCTAAAGACTTATTCACAGCATACTGTTGATAAATCAATGGAGTAGACGGCTAGCTGGCTTCTGTCCTAATTAATAAGGCCTGCCTCCCTGTCTGTATATGAGGACTAATGGAAATGAGGCAGTTTATACTAGTAAATACCATGGTATATAAGGCTGCCCATCTCGTCACTGTCCAAAGAGCATGCCATGCCCCTAAATACATACAAAAGACAAATTCATGGAGAAGGGATACATACCAAAATACTAACGTCAAGGTAGTCTAGCAGAAGGTGAATTTTCTCCCTTTGTCTATTTTTAAAATTTAATGTAAATTTTTTTAAAGTAAATGTTGACAGGTCTGAGTAGCTTGTTTTTCAAACAATTATTTAATGGTTAAGGATGTAAAACTATGTAAAATATGGTCCCAGTTTTTGTTTTAGGTTAGCTGTAAGGTTGATGGTTGCATGGGTGAGTGGATCGTAAAGTCAGCACTTGGCACAGTAGCTTTCATTCTGCTGGAAATATCAAGTACATTTTTATCTCTCAGTGCTGGAAATATGGATTCTTTTTGTTTTCTCTATACTTTCCATATAATTTATAAGAAGTAAAGGTTTCACTCTGAGATTATGATAAAACTGAAGTTAGTCCATTCATTTTGCAAATATTGGATGCCTATCATCTACCAGGTCTGGGAATACAAAGAATAAAATATTCCTCTCCTTGAGGTGCTCCGCATAGTAGGGATGATGAATGTAATGTAATCAACACACAATCCAACCCATGGTGCAGGATATAGGCTAGTTCAGTCCGTTAGGATCCAATGGGGCTCCTGCTTTGACTCCTTTTTCTTCCCTCAATTGTCCTGAAGGCTTTTTGTTGCTAGGCAGCTTTCCAAGGAGAGAGAATCCATTGTTTTTACTAGTTCTGAGGCAGAAATGAGATGCCCAAGCAGTTTCTGTTCTCCCTACCTGTCTTCCCACACAGGTTGAGTGCAGTAAGGGGCTGAGAGTGCACCCTTCCCTCTCAGGCATGTCACGTACTGCTACACCCCTGTGATGCTGGTCCTTCCCCATACATTTTCTTTAGTATATGTTCTGTCCATCATTATCTTCTAAATCATCTTCCAGAAGACTTGCTAACTAATTTCTGGTTGAGCAGTGATCCCCAGGCTTTATAGAGTGCCAGTGACATGGCCTCGGTGTTTGTTTTTTTGTTGTTCTGGTGAGGTCTGCTGAGAGAATGCTACCATCAGGAGAGAGGAAGATGGGTCTCCAGGCTGCACCACTGGCTCTGGGGCCCAGGCAGTTGGCATGAGTGAGGAGAGAGTCATTTGTTGTAAAGCTGGGGCTGGCCAGTTGTCTTAGGTGTGGTGAGAGACCCACAAGGAATAACTGGAAATCAACTTTGGTAAATATGGGGGTGAGATGAGGCATCTTTAAGGCATTGGGAACAAATCCTTCCGTGAATGAAATGCAGATTGGTGTTATTTGGGTTACTCAGTGAGCAGAGTAGTGTCAGTGAGTGGGTGTATGCTGAGGAGTTCTGCATTGATCCAGCAGGCAAGCTGGGTCCCCTTCGGAAACTGCCACCCCTCCCCGGCCCAGCCCCGTTGGTGCCTGTACATTGTTTTCCAGGTAGCTGATTCGGACAGTCCTAATGGGCTTATTATTTACTGTAGATGTTCTCAGCTGAATGTTGATGACATGGGTGAACTGTAACTGAAAAATTTTATTTTTTTGCTTCACAAATGTGCAGCTAGCAGCTCAGCCAGGAATAAGACCCCACTAAGTTATGAAATGTGTTAGATGTCTTGTTTAACTCAACTAGGGATAGAAAATTTTACTGAGTCAGCCTTCTGATCATAGTTAGATCTTATTTATGAGGGTCCAAATTTAGAAATGTGACTGTAAGTTTTAGTCCTGATGTTCAGAGAGAGGTTAGGTGGCTTACCCAGGGTCTCATGGCTATGTACCAGCAGTCTTCTCGTCGCTTCCCAGGCTAATGACCTCTCTGCTACCCTGTGCGGATTTTGCATGATTAGTGTCCACTATGAGATGACCTACTGCAGCATCCCAAGATTCCCCAGGCCAAGAGAATCCTGAGACCTGCTTCTAGGACCTGCTGTGCTCAGAGTAACTAGGGACCCAATTTGTTGTTTTTAAAATGAAGGAATTGAACTGCATGATCTGGAGCCCTTCAGAGCTAATATTCAGATATAATGCTGACTCTCCCCTGTGTGGAAAGTGGTCTAAGCACATCTGTCTCATCGGATGTAGGCTGCATTTGGAACATGTTTTCCATACACGGTAATGAGGTGCTAGCATTTCTAATAAAGTTTTCACTGTTGTGCAGGGTAGAACCAGAGAGACCACCTGTCAACAGTGACTTTCCAGGCCAGTCAGTGTCTGTTTCACACAGACTTAGATGTATGAACCTATGCAGTGAGATACCCTCGACACTCATAAGATACAGGGCGATAACCTGGTGACTTAGGAGCCCCAGTCAGTTCGTAGTCTTGATGATGCTTAAGCACATTGACAAAGGTGAGAATAAGAGGCAAAGGCCTTGAACTCTTCAGTGTCCTTGCTGAGAAGTATGAGTTTCTAAGACATGTGCAGAACAAGAAGTATGCAGCCTGAGTGTGACCGTAACTAACCCTGCTTGTGTTTCAGGCCCGCCATGTTCATAGAGGATAAAGCAGTAGACACCCTGGCTTACCTCAGTGACGGTGACGCCCGAGCTGGGTTGAACGGACTGCAGCTGGCGGTGCTGGCTAGGTTAAGCTCTAGGAAGATGTTCTGTAAGAAGAGTGGGCAATCCTATTCTCCCAGTAGAGTTCTGATCACAGAGAATGACGTGAAGGAGGGCCTACAGCGATCCCACATTTTATATGACCGGGCAGGTAAGTAATTCACCTGTGGAAAGAGTGAAACCATACGGAAAGAAGTGTGTGCACACATTCTCATTTCCGGAAGCCTGACTGGGTTCCGGAAGCATTCCAGCTGGGTCCAGAGCATTCCAGTGATTCTCAGGTGGATCTGCATGTTGGTATTAAGCCTTCTACACAGGGCTGACCTTTCCGAAGAGAGGCATGAAGCAGAAGCTGCCCTGTTGAGAATCTAGAGGAGTTTTGGGGTTGGAAATGGCAGGCTGCACATTCACCTTAGAAGGTAGTTGGCTATTCCCCACCTTGCAGAATACAATCACCTTTGAAAGCCTGTGCATTCACTTGACAATGAATATGTTTTGTGATCATTTACAACGGCAGTAAATAAAAAGAGGACTTTTGTCATAATGACTTATTAGTTTTAATTGAGAATTAAAATGCTTTATTTCTAGAGTCTATACTAAAAAATAGTCATGGATCTTGAAGTTTTTATTTTATGTAGTAGCTTTTTCAAAAATTTAATTTTGCTGTGTGCACTTATCTGTTTTTGTAGAACTGCATTTACAGATAGCAGATTTGATACCAGCTCTTATTAAATCTGTGACTTAGCAATATTAAATGTCATTAGCACAGCACATTTGCATCTTTTTATAAAAGAAGTGGGAGATGAATATAACATACTGTAGATTAGCAAACTTCTGCTGCTTGAGCATTTGTGGGACTTTGGATGGAATCATGTTGCAGTAACTGTGGAATATAATTTCCACACTTTTCAAAGCTCTGCCAGAAAAGGAGGCTGATAATTGAATGTTCCTGATCTCACGTAGGCTGTGCCACGTGACAATGGAGAGTCCTTACTGGTTAGAGAAGGGGTGGAGGGGCTTAAGAATGACTTTGGTTCCAAGCGCTGCCTCTTCGTGGGTGAGCACACTCGCTGCATGACCTAGGGGGGCTGACCAAAGCTTTTTGGCTTTAGCGTGCCTCAGCTGATGGTAGCTCAGGGGTGTTCATTAGTGCTAAGGACACACTGGCAAGTTGAATAAATAATCCTGTCTACATTGTGACGTGAATGTGCCTCAGCGGGGCCTGCTCAGATGGCTGGCTCTCCCTAGTGCTCTGGAGCATGACGTGAATGCTTGCAAAGTCTGAAAAGCAACACATTCTAGGTGTGTAGAGCCCTGCTTGACTTTTGGTCAAATAGAAAAAATGTAGATATGAACAAGAAAAAAGATTTTAAGACATTAAAAAAATCTCACCATGCCGGGATCGCCATTGTTTCTGAAGTGCAGCAGCAGCGGTCTCTCTCTCTCTTCTTGTAGGTGTCCCAAAGGATTTGCCTTGTTTTGATTGGAACGACTAGGACTGTTCTTTGACATTTTATCAGACTGTCACTTGAGATCCATATAACATGGCATTCACTAACACTCAGCCATTGAGTATTTTATAGGTGTATTCATTTTTTAAATTCTCAAAATTGCTTTATGGAGATAGCTATTAATATTACCCCCATTTTAAGATAACAAAGCAAGTGGTGAAACTGACCCGTAAATCCAGGTCTTACTGGTTCCCAAGACTGTCCTTCCCCCCGTCCGCATTTGCCTCCACACCAGCCTTGCCATGCTGTTACTGATCTCACCCATTACATCATGCTCCTGAGAGGGGTCACCCGTCCATGCACATACAGAGCGGATCTTGGAGGGGTTCAGTCCTAGGAATCCCACTTCCTGAGCTCCACGTTGCAGAGCTCTGCACAGTGGGGATCACCTTGTCTATAGCTTGGAGCTGGGGGGTGGTGGAGGCTGCCTAGTGCCGCTGCCTAGTGCCAGCGCCTTAAGAACCCCACATCCTATACATCTTCCCAGTATGAGTGTGTTTACACACCCCACCCCAGTGCAACATGTCTGCCCCACAGTGGATCCGCAGACACATAAATATCATTCAGATCTTGGAGAAAGCTGCTTTTACAGGCTTTGCTCTATAAATAGGGATAGTGGAAGCATTGCCCTGGAAACCTGTTAGCTTATACTCTTGGGCCTTTTTATAACTCCAGTGAGACAAAGACCCACCCCCAGAGTTGTGATTATTTTTGTATATGCCACCTAGTTCATAGTTACCCACTAGTAGGATCCAGTGATGTTTCTGCATCAGAGTGAAGGAATTTCTAAATGAGAGCAAACTCTCTGCCATGCATTGACATCGGGGTTCTATAGAAGTCGTCAGATTTCAGGTTATAAAGCAGTGTGTAATAAAAGCAAACATGGAAGGTAGCATAGAATAATACTAGTATCTATCACTGATGCAAAAGAATCTTTTTACAGTGCCTGCTCTGTGCCAGGCGTGTGTTATTTAATACAGCCCTGTGAGGTAAGTGGTCTCGTTTTTCCCATTTTACAGATGAGAAACCTGAGGCACAGTGAGGATCAGGAACTTGCCCATGGCCCATGAGCTTGGGGGTCCAGCCCAGGCTGTTTGGTCCCAGAGCCTGTGCTCTTGTCCATTATACTGGTGGTATTGCCCCTGGCATTGACAAAGTGGGAAAAGATGACTAACCTGTGTAGGGGGAGTTTAAATTTGACATAAAGTGGTGTGGGTAGTTTCTTCCAGCCCCCATGCCCGTGAGTTTAGCCAGGCCTGTTACCTGCTACCCTCTTCCCCGCCTTCCTCCACCCTGCAGAGGAGCAGAGCGTAGCCTGAGTGCCTGGGCCAGCAGGGTGAGGGAGTGGGCCAGAACCATGCAGATGTCATCCAGGACACCCTCTCGGCCAGTGTCCATAGCACTCTGACTTCACCAGGGGAGCCCTGCACAGGAGACACTCAGTTTGTTCTCAGAAATCCAGTAGCTGGGCTGACCCATCCATCTGCCCTGGCTCTCAGAAACCAGAATCACTCAGGCTGAGCCGTGGGTCCTGCAGGTCTTTCCCCTGTGGGAGGCCAGCATCTTCGCTTGCTCTCTTCTCCACCTGAAGACCAACTGTCATCTTACCAGCGAGCTCAGCTGCCAGGGTTTGTGGCTGGCGCCAGTCGTATTGTGGACATGGGCTTATGCTGAGCACAGACCAGGTGCTCCTCTGGGAGGAGTGAGACTCACGGGAACACCATCCTCCGCTTTCTCGTGAGGAGGGTGCCCCCTCCTTGAACTTACCTAAGGGACGATGGCCAGAGAATAGTGAAATGTATGCAGGTGCCACTGCTTAGTTCCTGAGAACTGTTTAGCTGTCATTTTTTTGCCCTTAAATATGCCTTTTTTTAAAGCACATTTCACTGATTTCATGTGAATCTAGGGTAAAAATGGAGTAGTAAGACCAGGCGGTGAGAGAGTGGGCTTCCGTCCACTTCAGGGCGGAAGCTGGTTAGTCCACGTGTCGGTCCTTCTGGGACCCTGCCACACAGGTGTCCCCACACCAAGGCTGGCAGAAGGAGGTTTAAATGACCACAGGCTTCGGATATCAGAAAGGCAGCTGGAAATGACACTGAGGAACAGATGGGCTATAACAGCTGCCCTTGCCACTTGGCTCTACATCCTCCTGGCTCCGAGCAGGCCCACCGTTGCTTTTCCTCCAGTAGATGGTGGGCCACGGGATAGAGCCAGAACAGAAGACTCGTCCCCCTCCACTCTTGTCTCTGGCAAATCCACCAGCTGGGAGGACCACCTTTCCTCCCTCCTGCCTCTGTGCGTGTGCGTGCACTCCATGTCGACAGCCACAGGTTTCTGCTGCAGCAGCCTCTTCCCCTGAATAGGACTGGGATTAAGCCCCAGCAGCTGGTGCACCCCACTCAGAGCACGGTTAAGGCAGCTGCCCAAACCTCTCCTCGGCTTTCTCAGGGCCTTTATTCGTTCAGGCTTTCTGGAAGTCAGCTGGCGGAGGTGAAGATGGCTTGGGCGCCCCTCCTGTGAGCTCTGTGTGAGTGGTGCTCTTTGTGATGTCAGGTGAGGAGCATTACAACTGCATCTCCGCCCTGCACAAGTCCATGCGGGGCTCAGACCAGAACGCCTCCCTCTACTGGCTGGCTCGCATGCTCGAGGGAGGAGAGGACCCACTCTACGTGGCACGGAGGCTTGTCAGGTTTGCCAGCGAGGACATAGGTGAGTGTGATGGGAGGGTCCCGGAGTCCTATGTCCATGAGGGTGGGGAAATGGCTAACAGTTACATCGTGGCTTTTTTTTTTTTTTTTTTTGCAGGGCGGGGTGGGCGGGGGTAGCAGGAAGAATGTCTCAGGGCTATGTGAGACTGGCAGGAGAAGATAAGACTTTATGCCTGAGCTCAGTCGTTTATTTCCTGGTGTATGTGCTTTTGAATGTTTATGTTCATAAAGTCACCATTTTCTGTTTCCTCTTCGGGAATGTTTTTACTAACATGAGTGGCTATTCAGAGTATTGCAATAGATGAGCTGCTTTTAAATTTGCTTTAAGTCAGGTGTTCAAGGTTTTCTTTGGACAGCTCCCAAGGTAGAAATGGAAGACTCTAGACACTATATGAAGAAAAAGATCAGGAAAGCTCTCCTCTTCTTTGGTCTTAGGGGATGTTTTGTTTTTAGTGTTTCCATCCTGGTGAATGTCTCCATAGCCTTCACTTCTTATGTTTGTTATACAGAGACTCATGTTTTTCTAGATGCAGAGTTTTTATCCACAAGGAAACAGTTCTTAACACCACACAGTAACCACTCTCAATATTTCTTGCATAAGTTCATGGGATCAGAGACTAGAGCTAAGTCAGGCTGTTTTGCTACATGGGATTGTTTTGGTCACCAAGTGTACAAGCAGTGGTGGTCTGTGGTCGCCTGCACATAGGCCAGGAGGACAGTGTGTGTCATGACTGAAACTCTCCTTTGTCTCTGTGTGTGGCAGGTCTGGCAGACCCGTCTGCGTTAACACAAGCGGTTGCTGCCTACCAAGGCTGTCATTTTATAGGCATGCCTGAATGTGAGGTAAAGTAATCAGCTCATTTCTTGCAAATCACTTCTTTTCTCTCTCGTGCTCTGTCCCTTTGTAGATTTGAATAAATGTCCCTCCTTCACCATTGGTGTATTGGACCCACTGAGTATGCTGCTTGGCTTTGGAATTCCAATTGTAGACTCTTAGACTCCTAGAGAGGGAAACCTTCTGTGTCAACGAGGTCATGTTTCAAACTGTTCTCGGGATTCCGGGGTTCAGAGCACATGCTCCATATGTTCCAGGGAGCAGAAAGGTTAAAGGAGCTGAACAGCAAAGCCTCTGCAAGTTCGCCCCCAGAGCAGCTTCATATTCATCTCTTTTATATATTGGGGGCTTAAGAAAAATTTAATGTAGTAAAAAGTCCTTCAGTTAAAAAAAAAAATGAAAACCACTCACCTGGTTTGCCTCTCGTTTCACCTCATGAGAATTTCTTCTGTCTGTCGTAGGTGGTTATCCAGACTGTAGGCGCAAAAGGGGGATAATAAAAGCATGTGGGGATCTTCTCAGAATTACCTAGAGCTGTGTATCAGAAGGGGCTCTGCAGAACAGAAGCTTGGCATCTTGCTAGTAAAATGTGTCCTCTGTGTCATTGGTAGGTGCTTCTGGCCCAGTGTGTGGTCTACTTTGCCAGAGCCCCAAAGTCCATTGAGGTGTACAGCGCCTACAACAACGTCAAAGCCTGCCTGAGGAACCACCAGGGGCCACTGCCCCCCGTGCCCCTGCACCTGAGGAACGCGCCCACTAGGCTGATGAAGGATTTGGGCTATGGCAAAGGCTACAAGTACAACCCCATGTACAGCGAGCCTGTGGATCAGGAGTACCTGCCTGAAGAGTTGAGGGGGGTAGATTTCTTCAAGCAGAGGAGGTGCTGACTCCTCAGGGCACGACAGCAGAAGGATGTTGCTTTTTTAAGGGAGGGCCAGAAAGAAAGTTAGTGGATTGCAAAGTTGGTTGCCTGGTGGAAGTTAGAACAGACCAACATTTTGTGCCAGAAATTTAAGAGTTCCATAGGTGGAGGCGCAGTTCTTTCGAATAAATGTGTAACTTTGAAATTGTGTTCATTTGCACTCGGTGCAGCGGTTATGCTTATGAAAATACCTGGCAGCTTTGTGCAATGAATTAATGTTATAAGGAATTATCTATTTTGTCATAGTATTTAAGTCATAATGTCATTTCAGAATTCAGTTCTGTAGGATTTTCTTTTCTTTAAAAAATGTATATTCTGGGTAGTTTTAATTGGTAAAAAAATGTAATTGTGATTTAATACTGCATAGTGTTTTGGGTATTTTTTTTATATGCAAAGGTCTTACGAGCCAATAAAACTATTTCAAAGTACTCTTCGATTCTGTCATGGTTTTCCTGCCTGGATGCTAGGTACCAGCGTTGTCACCATTGCATTTGGTGGGTGGATACTGGGAAGGAGAAATCACCCCAGATGGGAAGAGTGGGGAGCTTAAGTTAAGAAGTCAGTGTTATCTTGTTGAAAGTTAACTCTGATCTCTTTAAAGGAATACATAAAGGAATTCTTTAAATGGCTTGTGGAAGACTCCAGTAGTCCCATGCCCATTTTTTCCCACTTGTCCTGGTTTCTTCTTGCAGCTCCATATTTCTAAACAGTCGTTTTTCTTTTACTTTATGTGTGTCCTGAACACAAAATACGCCACTCCTTCTGCTCAGTTAAGAGTTATTTGTCCCTACTGCTACTTCCTCTCCCTCTCCTTAGTTGCATGTCGTGCATATGCCCACAAGGATGGCCCCTTCAGGTAGTCGGTTCTCCTCCTGCTGTTGCGTGATCCCTCCTGGGGTCCTCCTGCCATGTCTGGAAGGCTGCCGGCTGTTGGCCTGGGACGTCCTCTGCCTTTATTCTGAGTGAGATGCCCATTTTCTGGATGCTCCATCCCGCCTTACTGGTTTATTCCGCTATTTCAGTGCAACCCATCCTCTAGTAGTTTTATCAGGCTGGAGGGACTGTATGTTGCAGAGGCTTGGCCCGACTGGCCTCCCTCCTTCTGTCTGGAGTGGTTGCACTGCAGTGTGCAGTTGCCATCCCCAGAATCTCCCTTCATCATCACCCTGGAGCTTTCCTCTGCTTCTCCCTGCACCCCATCTGATGACAGGACTGACTGCTTTCTGGCACAGGTGGCATGTACCCTCTAGTAGCTTTATGGAGCAGGGGTGTGTGGAGGAAAAGTATTTTTAGACCTCAGGAGACTCAAAATGCTTTTATTGTACCTTCAGACGTGTCTGAGGGTTTGGCTAGTAATAAATTGTAGGTAAGAAATTACTTGTGCATTGTTTTACACTTTCCCACATTGTTGTCAAGTTTGAAGGCATCCTGATGTGTGTGGTCTTTTGTTTGTAACCTCTATCAACTTGTAGACTCTTCTGTCTTTGCTCCCCGTGTTTTAAAAGTCTGCACTGGGTACTTGTTGGGCCTTTCAATCTGGAAACTCCTTTCAGTTCTAGGGAAGTTTCTTTTTTTATTCAATAAATTTATTTATTTATGAGACCAACTCTTGCTCTTTTTCCCAGGCTGGAGGGCAATGATGCGATCTCGGCTCACTGCAACCTCCACCTCCCAGGTTCAAGCGATTCTCCTGCCTCAGCCTCCCAAGTAGTTGGGATTACAGGCGCACACCACCACACAAGGCTAATTTTTGTATTTTTAGTAGAGACGGGGGTTTCACCATGTTGGTCAGGCTGGTCTCGAACTCCTGACCTCGGGTGATCCACCCACCTCAGCCTCCCAAAGTGCTGGGATGACAGGCGTGAGCCACCGCGCCCGGCCTCAATAAATATTGAGTGCCTGTTTTATGCTGAGCATTCTTGTTGATGTTAAAACACATCAGTGAGCAGAAGAGA